>NC_000006.12:4453939-4605454 GCF_000001405.40 Homo sapiens
AGCCTGGCTTCTTGGGAGGCTGACCCCAAGTTCAATGGGAAAGATCATGTGTTCAGCTGCTTGTTGAGCTGGAGGTAACTGAGACATTCACATGGAGGTATCCAGCTGACAGATGAAACTCTGGGTCTTCAATAACAAAAAAGAAGGAAAGTTAGATTCACAAACTTACTGCAAAGAGACATATCAGGATCCCAAGAGGACATGAGACAGACAAGGAGAGAGCACATAGGGTGAAAAACACTGAATTTGAGGAAGGTAGAACTTTTAAGGGGCTCTTGGTAACCCCTTGGTACTTAATGTGTTTATTTTCTGAATGCCTAAGTGCCATTTAACAGGCACAAGGGGTAGAAAAAATGTCTTGGTTTGGGAATTAGGGGTAGAGGGATCTCAAATAGAAAACAAGTCTTTCTCATAGATAAGACAGAGTGGTAAAGACCCACATAAAGTAGGAAGGGGAGAGAGATTGCACTCAGGAGTCTACAAGAGTGACCCTGATCTACCAAGTGGGTAGCGAGGTCTTTGGCTGAAAGAAGGGGATAGGACAAAGTTTAAGGTGTTAAAGAAGTAAGAACAGGAACAGTTGTGGTAGGCGGTTTGTAGGAAATTGGGAATGAAATGAAAGATTGTTCCTCTGAAATGCCAACATTGCAGAACGGTGTTGGAGGGTCAATCAATTTCCACCTCTTAACTTTCTCCAGAAGGGCTCAGCAATTTGGGATTCAGAGGAAAAAGAAAGAATGAGGAGTCAGGATGTCACACAATTTTCACAATCACCCTATCGGTAAGATACATTACTGGCCCCATTTTGTAAAGGAGAAAATTGTCCAAGGTCATGGGGCAAGTAAGTAAAGGAGTCTAGATTCAGACAACCGTGTCTAGGATGGCAAAGCACACCCTAATCTGACCTTGCTCACTCTCCCATGCCACATCCTGTGTTCTCTATGGCCAGCCCCTTATACATGTGGTTTCCTATTTAATTCTCATGACAACCTTGCCAGATAGGTAGTGTGCCCTCATTTCACGACAGATGGCAAAAGAGGGATTTAAACCCAGTTCTCTTTCACCCCCAAAGTCCATGTTAGTGCCTTAAACCCAGTTCTCTTTCACCCCCAAAGTCCATGTTAGTGCCTTTACCCAGCCTCCTTCCTACTGTTTTGATCACTGTGTGTGGATTCTTAGGACTTCCCTTGGCTAGATTAGGTTTATAGACAGTACAGTACTCTGGACCAGACTTATAGACATATCTTCATTTTATTGGAACTAAAATGATGCTAATAGCTTTATCTTGATATTCTTGCTTATTATCTTTGTTTACATCAAAAACCCACTCAGGAGACTTGAAATCCTTAAACCTTGAACTCCCTCCCCCCAAAAATAAACAGTTTTGCACTTCCTCCTCCTATACAATTGTGAAATTTTCCTAGTTTTCCCTTATAAGCTTGTTATTCACTACCAACAAAACGTTAGTGTCAACTGCAAACTGGAAGATTAAAGCCTATATAATTAAAACTCAAAGGTGACTGCCTTTGAGGAAGAAGATCCCAGGAATAATAAGTTCCCAGCTGTGTGTTTCCTCTGGGTACAAATTAAAGAGCCCATGACCACCCTCCAGGGTTTCCCAAGCACAGCAGGTTTACTGAAGAATTTGAAGGCCCTTTTGGTTGATATCACAAGTAGCTAGTGAGCCCAGCTTCTTGCTCTTCAAGTAACTTAAAAGATTGAATAGCATTGGGCAGAGAGCACCAAGGACCCTGAGGAACTGGGCACAGCAATTGTAAGAGTGGAAGGTGAGTCTTGCATCTCTCAGGTCAAGTAGACACCAAACAAGAAATTTATAATGGACGATCGGCTCACAAAACTAATAATCTCAACCCATATGATTTAGTCAAGAGTAGGATCAAATGCATATACAGAAAACCTATCTATCAGTGGCTTAAACGACATAGGGGTTTCATGGTTGTTTGTTTTGTGTCTCATGTAAAAGAAGCCCAAAGGTGGGCAATGTATGGCCAACATGCTGGCTCCATTATGTCATGGAGACTCTGGCTTTGTCTAGCTTTCTGTTCCCTGCTCAGGGCATCCATCCTTGGTTGTAGAATGGCTGCTGCAACTGTAGTCAGTGTTCCAGGCTGCAAGAAGGTAGGGCAGACACAGTGACTTCTGTTAAATCTCTTCAGTCACCCTATTTACAAGGGCGACTGTGAGGTGGAGTTTTCTGCTGGGTGCATTGTTGCCTTTCGTAAACTCAGATCTCGTTACTGAGGAAGAAAGGAGAAATGGCTGTCAGGCATGGTGCACCGTCTCTTTCTATCTGGGTCTGCCTTTTGCATCTTGCAAAGCCCTTTAGCTTGATCCTAGATTCCAGCAGGTGGTTCTCTTCAAGTTTTAGAGCATTATGTTCATTGATGCTGATACCCAGGAAGGAGAACTCTGACGATATTCGCGTTCTCTCTTGTATACCATTTACCAGCAACACGTTGATCACTGTCTTAGTCCATTCTTGCTACTACAACAAAACACTTTAGGCTGGGTAATATGTAAATAATAAAAATGTATTACGGTTCTGGAGGCTGGGAAGTCCAAGATCAATGTGCTGACAGATTCGGTGTCTGGTGAAGGCTTATTTTCTGCTTCACAGATGGCACCTTTTGCTGTGTCCTCACATGGTGGAAGGGAAAAAAAGAACAAACTTGCTCCCTTAAGCGCTTTTATAAGGGCATTAATCCCATCCTTGAGGGCAGAGCCTTCATGGCCTAATTACCTCCTGAAGGTCCCACTTCCTAGTATATTGCATTGGGCATTAAATTTAAACATACATTTTGAAGGAACACAGACATTCAAACCATAGCAACCACCAAACAATCAAACACCACTATGTGCCAGGCCCTGCTCTGGTGTGGAGTCAACAAAGATGAAGGGCAATGCTCTTCTTGAGGGTTCAGACACTAGTGGAGACAGGAAGATAAACAAATTACAGTATGGTATGGCAGGTGCTCCAGTAGAGATTTGAAGAGAGCCCGGGAACACTGAGGAAGTCACCAGCTGCATCCTGGTGGATCCCAAGCTCTAGGAAATATAGGAGCACCCGGCCATCTGGGCAGTCTATAAAAATTGAGCTTCCCAGACATTGTCCCAGGAGTTCCAATATTACATATTCAAATTCCAGATCTACCAAATCAGCATCTCCAGATGTGTCTTAGGAATCGACTCTCTTTCCCCACAAAAAGTCCCAGGTAATGCTGGCACAGAAGTGGACCCCACTTTGAAAAGTTCTGCTCTAAGGGGGAAGGTAGGAACGGACACGCTAGAGAAAGAAGGCTCAGAAACAATGACTTGTGAGTTAACAGGGAGGTCATTCTACACAGAGGAGGGACAGCTTGGGCACTCAAGCCAGGCAGAGTGTGGTTTGTCTGAGAAGAACAAGACACAGGGACCAGAGCATGAGCCAGGGGCTTGTGGAGGTGCCAGAGCCACAGAGGATGAGGCCAGACTGTATTCACAGCGTGTCATGCTGCAAAAGCTGTACAGTTTTCCTTCTGTAGGACAAGGCTGTAAGTTGGGGACCCAGGAGTCTGAGCTCTAGGTTTCCCAGGGCAGGGCTGACAAAAAGAACCAGGGTGCACTTGACCTAAGCGAGTCTGACCCTGAGGCCATGCTGGCTCCTGTGCCCTGCCTTTTGTTCCCTCCTCACCTCTGCTTCAGCCTTGCCTGCCCACCACTCTGCCCTCTGCTCCTCTGAGAGGTGTTGTACTCTGTTGCATGTCCCTGGCTTAGAAACCCTTTCATTTCTGTCTGTGTTCATTACAGGCCAATTAGCTGCTTCTCCATGAAGATAAGGACCACCCTCTCCGTGGAACCAAGGAAAGGCATTTGCTCCCAGCCCGGGCAGCACTTATGCTCACCTTGTTCTACCTGTCTCATCACTAGGTGGGCAGCCTGGGCCGACATTCCTCCAACTAGGTGCACATTTACCTGGGGGACCTGAAGACTTTCCCCATAATACTCAGGCAAGGATAGTTACAGGGGAATCAATTTCCAGTAGTATTTTTCTAATATTAATCAGCTTGAAAATGAGCTATGTTCAGAATGTAGCTTTTCTCACTTTAGAAAAAAAGATGTATCCTTTATCCATCCCAAATCTTGCTTTGGTGCTTTGCTGCAGGAGGGAGTTTAAAGCAATGAGATAAACTTAAAGATAAATCAAGGCCCTTGAGCTCACAAGGCTTTCTGCCTTCTCCTGTCTTATACGTATTTCTGCAAGAGAGAAGGCATATTGGCCCATGAGGGCTCATAATTCAGAATGTCTAAGTCATATAGGGCTGCGATACTGATCCATTTAAATAAATGTAACTGGAATTTTTTGCAGGATGAGTGGATTTTTCAAAATACAATAAATCAGACAAACAAAAATTTCACCTGATATATTTCCGATATGTCATCCTTTAATCAATAAACTAATGAAAATATTTTTTTGAAATAATATAAAATATGTATTCCAATTATAATCAATTCTCATCTTATTTTACCATATAAAATATTTAACATTTTTTATCTCCTGTTAATAAGAAGTAAACTTATTTAACCCTATGATGATGAAGATGTTAGATGTCAATTTAAAAATGTCTGAAGGAGTATGTAGATTTTCAAAATTTTTTAACGAGGTTCACATTAAAAGGACATTTCAGTACAATGAGGTAGGGCGCTGGCCATCAAGGATCACAATTGCTTTTAATTTAAATCAACTTATGTTAAGTTTCTACTCTGTGCCAGGCGCAGTAGGCATCTTTAAAATAAGTGTCTGTCTGTGTCCAGTAAAATGTCTGGTCTCCTGGTGTTGGGTTTCCTGGTCTCAAAGGGTTCCACCATCAGCCTCCTATACTGAGAGATACATGCGTCAAACAACAGGACCAGAAGTTCCAACTTGCACAGAAAGTTATCCCAAAAAGGCAACACCCCCAGCCACACATTTTAGGCCTTATGTTCTCTGGTGTCCAAGAGCAACATGAGATGGGCTAAAGTGCCAAGCGGTGCCTTGAAGCCCCATGGCCGCCAGTGTGCATTCTGTGTTCCCCTGAGAGTAGACCAGTGATCCAGAGAGTCAGGGTACAACAGGACCCACGTCAAGTTCACAGATCATGGACTATGTGTGTTTACTGGGAGTGTGTGCTCAAGCATGTCATCCCAAAAGGGGTGAGAGTTCCACAAAGTGTGGATTTACACCATGAGCCAGGCATGAGGTCAACGTGGGCATCATCCACAAAGCTACCTCAAAGGAAGCCAGACTTGGAACAATGGACAGGATGTAGATAATCAGAGAGAGGCAGGAAAGTTGCCCAATCATAGTGAGTCAGACATTTATCGAACAGCTGGTCTGTGCTCAGCTCTGCTCAGGGCTCTTAGGAATTTAGGAAGGTGGATACAGATTTGATAAGGGAGGCCAGACTTGGGGAAAATTCAGGTCACACTGCAAGGTAGCATGTGTTAGGGCCTGCATCCGTGGTGCAGGGAGTGCCCTAGGAATGTGGAAGCGGGAGAACTCAGGGCAGATCAGATGGGCCAGAGATCAGGGGTCAAGGGCGACCTTGTACAGGATAAAGAACTGAGTGGGGGCTAGCAAAGGTAAGTGGGATGTGGATGGGAAGAGGGAAGGCCTTCTCAGGTAGAGAAAGCAACAGGAGCATAGTCTTAGGGGTAGAAACGACGAAACAGAATGGATGTGGAGTATTAAAAGGCAGGGCCAGCTGGTTGTTAAGAGGAGTCATTCCTTCAACCGGCAAAGACTCACAGAGCACCTCCTTACCAGACACTGCAGACACACAGGGAGGAAGATGGCTCAGCTCTGGCCCTCACAGGGAGCTCACAGAAGCGGACAAGAGGTTAAATGAGAATTGGGATTGTGAGGAGGGCTGGGAAGAGGAGGTGCAGAACATCACGAAGTTTCTAATGGGGTCCAACCTGGTCTGGGAAACAGGAAGAGTCGGGGGCCACAGAGGCAACCCTGGTGGGGTCAGGAGAGGGTTTGGAAAGTAGGATTATGGCAGACAGGGGAAGGTCTCAAAAGCCAAGGAGAGGCAACTGCTGTTTGTTCCCCGTGCATTTCACATGGTGGAGCATGAAGCCATCTCATGTAGGGAAACGACTTATTGCTGGTGAGGCCCTGGGAAGATCCGTGTCATGGCCATTTGCAGGCTGGATTTGGACAGAAAGGAAGTGGAAGCGAGGCAGCCAGTTAGGGAGATGCCGAGAGAACCTAAGAGGGGCATTACGCATCCTGCACAGCTGGGCCCGGGTCCCAGGAGGAGGACAAATGCATTCGTGCGGTTGATTTCCTGTGTCTTACCCCTCAGCTGCCAGAGGCTACCTAGGTGTCACTGCTGACATTCCTCCAAGGGAGAGCTTTAGGCTTCCGCAGGGAGAAAATGCCTGTATAAGTTTTAATCGAAAGCAAATATGAGACGATGCTATCATTTTCAAAGTATACTTGCATTTTCCACATATTCATTTCAAGCTAATACCAGCTTTTTCTGTTCTCCTTGCCCTCTTTTTAACACTTTTAATGTTCTTCTATGAGTTTATTACATTCAAACTACTTACAGCAAACCCTAAAACTACAACCAGAGCTGTTCAGATCCTGCCCCATTAGGGAAGGGAGGCCCAGCAGCACAGAGAGGAAATGAAGAGATGGGGTCAGCCCTTAGACTGCCTGGTGATCAGACAGCAACCTCAGGCTGTTTGCTCATATTTATTTCTGTCAGGCCTTTAGAAAACACATGTGTTTTTCGGTAGCTGTTTCCAGGGCTCTCGGTTACAGGGAACATCTGGGATGTGTGAATAAGTCACCTTCAGCAAAACAAAGTACAGCTCCAGTGAGGCCCTGTGTGCAAAAGGCCAGCGGCTGTCAGTTGCCTGCCAATTGGCTGCTCCGTGCAGAGATTCCAGCCCATTCACCAAGGTCTCGCTGAGAAGCCTGTGCCGGGCAGCAGACGCCTTGTGCTCCGAAGGATTTGTTCCTACATGACTTGGAAACAGTTTGTCCCCGTTAGCTCAGTCAGTCTGTGGCTGGTGCCAAGAAGGCCGAGGTTGCAGGTTTGATCCGGGAATGGGTCAATTAGCTTTGCACAGAGGAAAACTTTGTTCCTCTTCACTGACTGCGCCCCAGCCTAGCCGGCATCCGCCAAGTAGGAGCCAAGTGACAATAGCCGTGTTCTTCCCGGGAAAACCAACAGTGAGTTCATCCACTCTGCACCGTGGGTCGGAAATGTCCTCCTCGCCCACTAAGAACATTTTATTGTATTTGCAGACACATCATCTGTAATGCTTTCAGTTCCCCTCCTGGGAGCCACACTGTGAAAACGAAATGCAGTCTCCTTGATGCTTTAGGAAAGCAGCAAGATCCACTGGGTCGATCAAAGCCTTGCACACTGAAGGAGCCTAGATTTGCTTCCCAGTTTTATAGGAGATAACCAGTATTTGATGTGAAGATGTATTTGGGGCCAAGGGAGATTTGGTGTGAATCATTTTAATCAGAGGCTCAAGAAACCTGAACTGGATCTGACCCCACCTGCCTCCGCATGTGAACAGAAGCAAACAGAAAAGGCTGCTACAAATGAGGGTCTTGAACAGCAGATGTTAAAAGCAAGTGCTACTTAGCGATCTCAGAAATACTCGTGGCTACTGAAGTAGCATTTCTCGTCCTCTTACCACAAGATTTGACAAGCGGACTTGACGCTCTTCATTGTAGCCATTCTCTCTCTCTTTTTTTTAGAAGTTTAAAAATGTGTGTGCAATATGCAGTCATGATAGTTAACTTTCAAATGGTTCTCTGTCTACCTACAGGAAAGAGAAGATATTAAATTGTTTCAGAGCCAGATGGGCTGGCGTTGTCTTTGTTTGGCTCAGAGTAAGACACAGCCAGTGAGTTCTCCGCTGAGGCAACGTATGTGAGTGTCACGCAGGGCATATGTGCACACTTAAGCCATGATCACCCCTTAAAGATCTTCTTAGTTGCTACAGCTAAAGCTATGCCCCAAATGCTGTCAGGCTACAGTTTTAGTTGTGTATGGCATCAAGGATAATAAAGGTGTACTGTTTTAACTTGTGTTACTGGCACCTGTAATTCTTCCAATGATATTTCCTATTCTCCAAAATTGATACCCAGCCTTCACCTATCTCATGAAAATACATCTTTCTGGATTCAATCCTGAGGGGTCAGGAGAAGAGTAGGAAGAACAAAAGGGACAAATAAAACACAAAAGCAGGAAAGTTTTTTTTAAAAAATAGTCCATGGCAATCATTAGCATGCCATCTTCATTACTCAGAGAATTTCCAGATGATTGGATGCTCATTTTGGCAATTAAAACTTCTATATCAAAACATCAACAAAAATATCTATAGCCAATGTATCTAAATTAATTAATATTCTTAATGCATTTGAAAAAACATTTGGCTGAGATGATATTCAACAATGTTTGACTTACAAAAATTTTAATTACACGTGGTTCAATTAAATACTAAGACCATTACAAATAAATGGCTCCAAATTTTTAGTAGAAAATACAAACGACTTGAAACATCGAAAAATGTGTAACTTAGCCAGGCACAGTGGCTCATGCATGTAATCCCACAAACTTTTGGGGAGGCCAAAGTGAGATGATCACTTGAGCCCAGGAGTTTGAGACCAGCTTGAGCAACATGGCAAGACCCTGTCTCTACAACAACTTTTTGAAAAATTGGCTGGTGTGGTGGCACATGACTGTAGTTTCAGCTACCCGAGAGGCTGAGGTGGGAGGATCATTTGAGCCCAGGAGTTCAAGGCTGCAGTGAGCTATGATTGCACTACTGCACTCTAGCCTGGGCAACAGAGCAAGATCTTGTTTCTAAAAAGGAAAAAGAGGAAAAGGGGGGAAAGAAAAGGAAAAATGTGTAACTTTACTAATACTCAAATAAATGCAAAAAGAAACACAAAAAAACCAATCCATTTCCAGCTATCATAAATAGCAGGGAAGTTCACAGAGTAGACCGTCCTGTGCTGAGTGTGGGGAAATCTGCTGTCTCCTATAGTGCTGGAAGGGATGTAAATTGGCACAACCTTTTCGGAAAACAAATTAGCAGTAACAAAAATGGTGGGGTTTCTTTGAATGTTCAATTCCTGGCTCTAGTATTTCCAGTTCTGTGAATTTATCATAAGAAAATACAGGGGAAATAAAATGTTCTGTGCAAAGATGTGCCTTGCAGTATTCACGACAGTAAAAATGAGGAGGTAAACTCCATGTCCAGCAATAGAGAAATTAGGCAGTGATTAGAAGCATGGAAAGTGGAGTCAAGCCAACTTGTGTCTAAATCCCGCTTTGGCTGTTTAATAAGCATTGTTAAACACATTGCTAAAACCTTGAGCCTCAATTTTCTTATCAATTTATATGATGAGACTAATTCCTACCTCACTGGGCTTTTGCTAGAGTCACATGGGAAGAATGTATGTACATTGCTTGGAATAGTGTGTGGAAAGCAGAAAATAGCAGCTTCTCTTTATTATGATTTAGTCATCCTCAATATTATACAACTATTGAAAGAATGTTTAAGAATAATTTATAATAACATAGGAAATATCCATTATATAATGTGGAAAATCTAAGTATGTAGATACAGAGAGGCTGTGGTACAGACTGTAAAATATGCCTTAAAAAAGAAGACAAAAAGGAGTAATATATGAGTCAAAATTTTACAGGGGTTGTCTGGGTCTTGGAATTAGGGATGATTTTCCTATGAGCTCTTAACTTTGGTGCTTTTTCCAACTGTGCTATAATGAACATTATTTCTTTTGTCATTGAAAAGGGATAAACTGTATTTTCTAAAACAAAACACCAGCCTCTGGTGTTTGGCCTCCAGAGACAGCAGTAATAGTTTTGATCCATGGCTCCCAGGAAGGGATGGAGGGCAGCTGGCATGCAGGAGACAGAGCATCAACGAGGAGCTACAGCAGTTGGCTTCTGGGTCCTGGAGCTCCACGGAAAACTCTGCAACCCTGGTCATCATTGGCCATGCTGCAATGAAGACAGCATTAGTTGAGATCAAGCCTTCACTGCAGAAACCACAAGGCTCTGTCTCATTACTCCCTCTTAGGATGATGCACCATACCTGGTTCTCTGCCGTTCTGTGACACACCTTTGGTCTCCTCTCCTGCTAGCAGTTGGCTGGAACCGTTTGGCTGAAATACTCTGTTAGTTCTTACCTTTTGTTATGAGTTCAGTTGTGTCCCCACCAAACCAAATTCATATGTTGAACTCCTAACCCCAAGTGACCGTATTGGGAAATACAGTCATCGCAGATGTAATTAGTTAAGTTAAAACGAGGTCCTTAGGGTGGACCCTAATCCAATATGACTGATGTCTTTATAAAAGAGGAAATTTAGGCACAGAGACATGCAGAATGTGGACACATCCTCTACACAGGGAGAACACCACGTCAAAGTGAAGGTTGATGTTACACTGCCACAGGAGTTCCCAGGAGCTGGAAGACAGGCCTACAACAGATCCTTCTGTGCCTTCAGAGGAAGCATGGCTCTGCCAACACCTTGATTTCAGACTTCCAGCCTCCAGACTGTGAGATAATAAATTTCTGTTGTTTAAGTTCACTCAGTCTGTGGTACTTTGTTATGGCGGCTCTAGCAAACAAATATACGCTCATTTTCTCACTCAATGTCATGTCTTCCTCTTTCCCTCTTTTCCAAAGAAAAAAAATGAAAGCCTTCCAGATGTGTTCTGCTATGGTCCACAGGCTGGAGGGTGCATGGAACCCACCCAGAGGTGCTCTGCAATCAGCAATTCAGTGAGCCATTCACAGTCCAACCAGTTGCCTTCTGATGAGAATGCATCACACCGCATGTGGGGAGGGCCATGTGGGAATTCTCACACCTGTTGCCTAGATGCCTGTGTCTGGTTAGAACCACTGCATGCTTTCTTTCAGTGAGTATTTACGCTAGGCACCAAAAAACAATGGCAAGAACAAACATTAGTGTGATGTCAGTAAGAATGAAACCTAAGTTACTATACAGATTAAATTATAAGTTTCTCTGGATGTAAAAAAGTTCCCAAATGTAGTGTAACAGGTTAGAAATTCACTTCTCAATCACGCAAAAGTCCAAGCAAGCATGGGGACCTTGCTTGTGATGTGTGTCTTTCTTATGAATTGAATTTTGTATCTCCCCGCAAACCTGCAAAATTCATATGTTGAACCCCTGATGTGATGACATTTGGAGATGGGGTCTTTGAGAGGTTAAAGGTTAAGATTGAATGAGGTCATAAGGGTGGGGCCTTTATGCAATAGGGTATGTGTCCTTATAAGAAGAAGAGACACCAGAGATCTCTGTCTGCCTTGTGAGGGCACAGCAAAAACTCAACCCTCTGCAAACCAGCAGGAGAGCCCTCACCAGGAACCGAATTGGCTGGCACCTTGATCTTAGACTTCCCACCTCCAGAAATAAGCTCCCATTGAGAAATAAGCTCCCGTTGTTGAAGCCATCCTATCTGTGGTATTTTGTTATGGCAACCCGAGCTGACTGAGACAATCGTCTTGCCTGTCAGCCTTGACCTTGCTGCTCTGTGGCATCCCCATTTCCATGATAGCCCCTGTCACACTGGCATTCCACCCAGCAAGAAGGAAGAAAGAGACAGGAGCACACACACCTTCCCATGGAGGTGAACAGCATACCACACAGCCCCTCAGGGCCCACTGGCCAGAATTCAATCACATGGCTGCACTCAATGCACTGGAAGCTGGAGAACAGAATCTTTCTCTGTTCTTCAGCCTGTGCCCAGGTTAAAGATTCTATTTCTTTTTCTTTTTTCTTTTTTTTTTTTTTGAGACGGAGTCTTGCTCTGTTGTCCAAGCTAGAGTGCAGTGGTGCTATCTTGGCTCACTAAAACCTCTGCCTCCCAGGTTCAGCAATTCTCCTGCCTCAGCCTGCTGAGTAGCTGAGATTACAGGTGCAACATGCCCAGCAAACTTTTGTATTTTTAGTAGAGACGGGATTTCGCCATGTTTGCCAGGCTTGTCTCGAACTCCTGACCTCAGGTGATCCGCCTGCCTCTGCCTCCCAAAGTGCTGGGATTACAGGCATGAGCCACTGCGCCCGGTCTAAAGATTCTATTTCTATAGAAGAAAGGGACAATGAATATTAGGAAATAACCTGCTGTGTGGCCCTTAGTGACCAAATAGATTCTTTATGAGATGACCTTTTTGTTAAGGTGGGAAAACTTGAGCAGTGCACAGTTTTCCTGGCACTGGAGAAATCTTTCAGCAAGGTGCTATCTGGAAAAGTGGAACCCTGGTCACATGGGAGGACATGGAGTCTCTCAGGCACAATGAGCCATGACATCCCTTTTCCTCTTTCTCTTAGGTCTACATTGAATACGTCTTTGCTGCTCTGGGATCCATCCTCCAGTCTTCAGTCAGCTAAGAAAATGACCTGTGGGCACGTTGGCTTCCTTTCTTCGGATTAAGTGGTTGTTCAGAGAGAGGCTGAGTCTGATTGTTTACACAAGAAGGAAGTGAACACTGGCTGTGTGCCTGGCACTGTTAGGAGCCATCAAACCATGTCCAGAAAGGACGCAGGGAAAGGAGATGTCGATGTTTCCAGACATTTTGTGATGTGAAGAGAGCGCCTGAAGGTAAGTTGGGAAAAACGGTTCTAGTTTTTGTTCTGCTGTTTTCAAGTTTGACTTCTCAGAACCAGTTTCCTCGCCTATAACATGAGACATTTGGATTCTATCTATAAACTTTGGGCTCTTTCTGTAACAGAAACTACCACCTTATCTGGAAAAACAATTATTTTCCTTTTTTTTCCTTTTATCCCCCTTCTTTCTATGCTAGGTTTTTGATGATGCTTAACTCACGTGCTTTGCTTAAAGAACTGCAGGGACTGACCTGAAACGCTAAGCATGGAATCCAGGTTGCAGAACATCCCACTCTGGAAAGAAGGCTGAGCCGTTCATCTGTATTCCTGTTGCAATCAAGCTAATGCCAGCCAGACCACCAGGTGGCCCATTATTCAAGACAGTCATTGAGACTAGACAGACTGACCAGCATGTATTCAGCTCTTGTACATAATTCCCCCAGACTCCCCCTCGCATAACACCCCTGGCCAGCCTGAGAAATTCGAGATGGTCTTTGTGACACTAGCCCACCATCTCCTCAGGTTGCCAGCTCCTCATAAACCTACTTCTCCTCCGACCAACTCTTGTGTCTCCAGTTTGGCTCTCAAGGAGCGAGCAGCCGAACCTAGGTTCAGTGACATTTCTAAATGCTATGACATACAGGCTGTAAGCACTCACAAGGCAAGCAACATGAACTCAATTCCCTGAGTCATGGGAAATGACGGGCTCCTATGACTACCTTTGTTTAAAGTGAAAAGGAAATACAGGTAAACTTAGAGTGCCCAGAATTGAGATGGAAAGCTTTTATTCTTGGGGAACTGTAAGTAAGATGATGTGCATGTGAAAAAAACCCACAAACTACAAGTCCCAAAGAGTAGTGGAAAGCCTGCCCTTTAGATTGGAACAGTGAGCCCAATGGGCAAGGGTTCCAGTTGAGACTCATCCTGTGGAGTGGAGCCCAGGTTTCCATAAAGGTCCCACGATGACTGGAAGTGACTTCGCAAACCCCACCCCTCTACTCCCTCCATGCTGCATCTCAGGGTCAGGGCTGGGGCAGGAAGCAAATTGCACACCTGTAACATGAAGACAAGCGAAAGGATTTAAGGTGAAGAAGGTTAGGATGGAAGCCCTCCTAGTAATTCATTGGTGTTGGAGAGATGACTGTATTTCTACCTCGGTGAAAGCCAAGCTTTTAATTCAATATCACTCCAAAAACACAAATTACAAGTTGTGTGATACACAGACGATTAACCCACCTAATAATTAAATTAAAAAACACTTTTTGAGGGAACAAATTAGATTATGTTTTCCGAATCAGCAGCTTAGAGATTTTTATTACCTATTAATAAAAATTATCTAAACATCCATCACCATAACTTTTCCTCTACTTTGTTTCCATTTCTTTCTTTCTTTTTTTTTTTTTTTTTGAGATGAAGTTTCACTCTTGTTGCCCAGGTTGGAGTACAATGGTGTGATCTTGGCTCACTGCAATCTCCGCCTCCTGGATTCAAGTGATTCTCCTGCCTCAGCCTCCCAAGTCGCTGGGATTACAGGCATGCGCCGCCAAGCCTGGCTAATTTTTTATATTTTAAGTAGAGACTAGAGACAGGGTTTCACCATGTTGGCCAGGCTGGTCTTGAACTCCTGACCTTCAGGTGATTCACCCGCCTCGGCCTCCTAAAGTGCTGGGATTATAGGCGTGAGCCACCGTGACCAGCCTTTGTTTCCATTTCTATAGTATAGTTTCAATTTTGTGTCTGTGCAAATAAAAGTGTCCAGCAATATGAAAGAAAAAAAATTTTTAGGCTTTTTACATTTTTCAATTGTTTTCTTCAGTGTGTCTTGATTCATTTTTTATTTCCCTCTTCAGATTCTCTCCTAGTTTTGTTGTGTTTTTTTTTAAGTTTTAATCAGTGATTCACCATCAATGATTCTCCACCTTATAGCTCTCCTCTTCATCTGTAGTAACACAGTGCTGGCACGTAGGAGGCACTCAATGAATATTTGACAAGCGAATGAACTCATGTCAATGGTTCTCAATATTTGGAATAAAGGCCACTTTAGGCATGTGGTGATAGCAATAGATTCTTTCCTCTGGTAATGGAACACACACACGATTTTACATGACAGTTTCAGGGGATTCATAAAGCCCATCTTCTGACCTAGGGTTCTTTAAACCCCAGATATCACATTAAAGTGCTACTGTGTTTGGAAACACTAGAAGATATTTGTTGTAGGTTCCGGGTATAAGGGAAGATGGTGTCCGATATTAAATTTATGACTTGGTAATTCGAGACACTCTCCCTCACAACTGATCTGGGAGGCACTGTCTGTAATGAAGAAAAAATGGTACCCAAAGCATCAGTCCATAAAACTAATTTAGCACACTCTACCCAAAGGGACGCCATCTGTCTGAATAACAAAGTGTAAATAAGCTCAGAGGATGTAGATATGGTATCTTCTCAGACTTTAGACCTCCACAGGAATCCCACGGGAATCATGTTAGAATGCAGATTCTGACTCAGTGGGCTCGAGGTGAGGCCGATATTCTGCATTTCTGACTTGCTCTCAGGGGTTGCCATGCAGCTGGTCTATTCACAGATCACAATTTGAGTACCCAGGCCTCAGAGCATCCTCAGTACCCCAAGTGTACTGTTCCTCTGCACCTCTCTTCCAAAACGTATCCTCACATATACCAGCTTTCAAAAGCACATTTCAAACTTTGTTACTTGCTCATATAAAGTTGGGTGTTAAAATATGCCCCCTCAAAATAATACCAACAAACAATCCTTTGAATTATCCCATGCAGATGTCACCGTCCTCTTGTTACAGACAAAAGCCAAAATTGACAAATGGGATCTAATTAAACTAAGGAGCTTCTGCACAGCAAAAGAAACTACCATCAGAGTGAACAGGCAACCTACAAAATGGGAGAAAATTTTCGCAACCTACTCATCTGACAAAGGGCTAATATCCAGAATCTACAATGAACTCAAACAAATTTACAAGAAAAAAACAAACAACCCCATCAAAAAGTGGGCGAAGGACATGAACAGACACTTCTCAAAAGAAGACATTTATGCAGCCAAAAAACACATGGAAAAAATGCTCACCATCACTGGCCATCAGAGAAATGCAAATCAAAACCACAATGAGATACCATCTCACACCAGTTAGAATGGCAATCATTAAAAAGTCAGGAAACAACAGGTGCTGGAGAGGATGTGGAGGAATAGGAACACTTTTACACTGTTGGTGGGACTGTAAACTAGTTCAACCATTGTGGAAGTCAGTGTGGCGATTCCTCAGGGATCTAGAACTAGAAATACCATTTGACCCAGCCATCCCATTACTGGGTATATACCCAAAGGACTAAACTTAAAGTATAATAATAATAAAATAAAAAAAATAATAATGAAAAAATAAAAGAAAACTGAGGATACAAGGAGTTAAATAGGTTCAAACTCTAGCCGGGAAAGGGCAGGCCTCCCACCCAGTTACTCTTTGACCAACTCACTGGCTCACATGTGCGTTCAGAAGGCGTTGCTGAACACTGGCAAGGTGCAGGCATCCAAAGGATAGGGAGGAAATTGGTTTTGCCAGTTTAGCACTCTTTCCCAAACGACTTTCTTGGTGAGGCCATGCCAGGCCTTTTTTCCCCTGCACCTCATTGTTACGTAAATGAGTATGTGTTTCCAAGAAGGTTAAACCCCGGGCCAAATAGATGTGGACATTTGTTTGTTTCTTTTCTCTCAGATTGGGGATATTTGAATTGTTTCCACTGACCTCGCTTTAGGGAAAGTGTGGAAAAGCAGGGCATAGTTCTTGCCCTAAACAGAGTTCAGGCAAAGGGCTCCCATGCAAACTTTAGTATCTCTCCTATAAACCCAGAACCCAGGCTTCTGGGTCATAGCGGTAATACTTTGGTCTATATCAGGATTTTCCAGCCTTGGCACTATTGACATTTTGGGCAGAATAATTACTGGTTGAGGGAGGGGCTGTCCTGTTGATAGGGCTCTGCTGAGTGGAGGAACACCAGGACTCTTGTCTCATGCGACTTTGATAAAATGACATGGACACACATGAAGTGGTTTTAAGGAGCAGAGAGTTTAATAGGCAAGAAAGAAGGAAGAAGAAAGAAGGAAGAAGCTTCCCTGTACAGAGACAGAGGGAGGGGGGCTCCAAAGCTGACAGAGGACACCCCAGGTGCAACAGCACAGGGACTGCTTATATGAGGAGGCTGGAGAAGGCGGTGTCTGATTTGCGTAGGGCTCAGGGGATTGGTTTGACCAGGCATGTCATTCACGTAGCCTGCGAAAAAACTGGCCCTCCCACCCTAGCCTTTTAATATGCAAATGCAGGGCACCAGGACGTTCTACACACAGGGATATGTGAGGGCGGCCATGTTGCCTGACACATGTTGGGGCAAGGGCAAGAAGAAGATGGAAGGAATCACCATGTTCGGGTGGACCCAGTTTCTAATGGTTGGCATTTGCATATCAAAGGTTGCCAGCCTGGCTCCTAGAGGCAGGGCTTTCCTGCTAGATGAGAAATGTTTCTGGAGCTGCTTTAAAAGAAACAACTTTCCAAGGACCCCTTTTCCTCTCTATCTGCCTAAAATAATTTCTTAATAACTCCTATAACACTGCGCTTCGTTGTGTTAAATAGAGCGAACTCCAGGTTTCTCTTCAAAGAATCAGTAGGTTAGTATGTTCAGCTCTCTTATTCTTTGTTCTCCATTTTACAGTTTAACTTCCTGGTTCTCTTCGCCCCCTTGCCTCTAGTTTCAGTAAACAAGTTTCCTGCCAGTTCTAATTAGTAGTTCACATCTGTTCCCCTGGTCACCTTCTCCGTCCTGAGTCACCCCGGTCACCTGCTCTGACCTGAATCATCCTGAGTCACCTGTTCCGTAACCGCCCTTCCCGCCAAACTACTCACCCTACCACTCCAGCTCGTACCCCTGCTCTCTTTAAAATAGCCAATCGGAATTAGCTTAGACTGTGCGGTCCAACCCTAGCCAATAGGGGAATGACACAGCAGTAGGGGCTACCTGTGTCAGGAATAAGAACCCCTTCCCTTCCCCTGTTCAGGTGTGCTCTCGCCACTGCTCCATCTGCAAGTCACACCCTTCTATAGAAGTAAAAATTGCCTTGCTGAGAAAATTAAATTTATGTTTGAGTGCTATTTCTTTGGTGGTATCAAAAATTTATTTATAATAGTAGGATGCCCAGCAGTTTCCCTGGCCTGTGCCCATTAGATGCCAGGAGCACACATTCCCCACCCCACATCAAACTATCAAAACTGACCATCAAAAATGTCTCCAGACATTGCCAAACGCCCCCTGAGAGGCAAAATCATCCCTGATTGAGAACCACTGGTTTTGCTTATGCTTGGTCCTGTGAGGGTTGAAAGATGAGAAGCACAGGATTGTTGAAGTCCTAGGAGCAAAGCTACTTCCTGGAGATTTGTAGAGGACAGACCACCAGTGAGTCACCCTTCCCAAAACTCACATTCACACTTGCCTTACCCAGCTTAGGGTCCTCACCATCACTACAAAAGGGAAAAGAAAAAGCAAGACTTCCTTTGCTGGATGCCTTGGGCACGAATTAGCAAGTGAATTGGCTCTGCCCAGCTCATAACTACTCTAGAGAGAGCTTTTTAGGGGAGGGGAGAGAGACAGAGAGACAGAGACAGCAGGGGAAACAAGAAGGCCACACCCACTTAAAAGGGAGCAGCAATTTGCTCCCAGGAGAGAGACAGCACAGCAAAAGGCTCGGGGAGAAATGGCTCCCATCATACCTGGAAAGAGAACAGGGATGTGCTGCCCAGAGTGTCAGGTATCAATGTGCCAAGGTCCAGCTCCTCTAGCATTTCCCAGTGGCTCAACTGCAGGGATTCCTTGGATGCAACTCAGTTATATCTGGCCCCGCATTCTAGCTCTTGCCGAGGTCTTGCACATCCATGTTCTACACTACAACACACATACATCCACTCCTAGAAAATTCCAAAAGTACAGTGTGCTGCCTTCCCAGAAGCTCCCATTCTACAATAAAGCTAAACAGTGAGCTCAGGCACAAGGCCCAGTCAGCACTGTCAGGAACTAACGCCTCAGACAGGATCCAAGATCAAGCCATGGTGCACCAAACCCAGCACCGAATGACAGGCCTTGGTGTGGCCTGGAGTCACCACTATTCACAAAGTGCCAAGTGTTTAACATGGAGAAAAGAAGCAGTAAGCCAACCACCAAAGCGAAACCCAAGCCCACAAAGATCAATGGGTTTTCAATCCCTTTATTGAGCTTCTTACTGCAGGCAGGTTTTATGCCAGCCTAGGACAGTTTGCTCAGCCACCAAATCTCCCAGCAAAGGGAATTTTTCCTTTTCTCTTCCATCATGAACCCTCTTTCCCCCATCCTCCAACTCTGCCTTCCTGCCCATTCCTGGTGCAACTTCACTTTTTTCTCATCCCTTTCCTTTCATTTCAAACGTTTGTTCCAGGAGCTGTTGTGAAACTATGTTGATGGCATAATCAAACCCTTGCACCAGGCCGTGATAGTGTGAGTCTGGGTAACCTGAGACAAATGCCACCTCCATTCTCAAGAAGCCCTAAGCCAGAGCCCTGTAGGGGTGTCTCACTTTCCTCGATAAATACTGGTGTGAAAAATTGTGTTCAAATAAAAACTAATTTGATTTTTCACATAACTTGTTCAGGTTGGGGATGCTTTTCATTTCTGATTGATTTTTTTTTATTGTCATCTGACCCTATCACTTTAAGTGTCTCTGCCCCTAAAGCTTTGAGTGAATAGCGAGCTCTGAACAAGCACTTAAATGTGCTGGAGTAAATTCATCAACATTATCTGCAAGTAGCTAAAAATGGAAGCAACCGAAGTGTAAAAGAGAAAGTAAATAAATCAAACCGCTGTATATTCACACAATGGAGTGCTGGGAGCCATATTCATATTCTTCTCAAAGAACATTTAATCTAATGGCAAATTTTTTTAAAAAAAATTCTAAATGATGATCCCATTATATAAAAAGAAATAAATCAGAATTATAATGGTGTTTATATTTGGGGGGGGGAGTGTGATATTATGAGTGGATTTTAATTTCTTTCTTTGTACATCTCTACAGATTCTAGATTCTTCCCTATGAATTCATGTTCCTTTTGCAATCAGAAAAGAAAAAGAAGTACTTTATTTCACTTCCCCAGTTATGAATGCCTTGGGAGCCGGGATTCTACCACGGCCGAGCCTGCCGTTCTCCCGGTGAGCATGGCTGTGTCATTCCTCTTGAGTTTTGGGTGGTCTTAAACATGATTGGTGTCACTCCAGTGATTAGGCTATGTTATCTGGCAAGGTTGAAGAGATTTTGTAATGAAGTCTCTAATCAGTTGACTTTAATCAAAAGGGATTTTATCCTGGTGGGCCTTTTGAAGCTGGTACAGAGATAACAGACTCTTCTGCTGGCCTTCAAGAAGCAAGCTGCTGTGAGCTCTACAGCTGCACTGAACTGAATTCTGCAAACAACTGTGCTTGGAAGAGGACCCTGAGCCTCACATGAGACCCCAGCCCCATCCATTCCCTGGACTGCAGCTTTGTGAGACCCCCAGTTAAGTGTGCCTAGACTCCTGACCCATGGACACTGTGAAATAGTAAGCGTGTGTTGTTTTAAGTAACTTTGTAGTAATTATTTTTTACATAGCAATGGGAAATCAATACAAATACTATTTTAAAAATCCAAAGTAAATCCAGTACCCCCACCATTACCTCAATACCCACAGTCATTGGCTGGGAGCAGCCTGGGAGAGCAGGCTCTTGTTAAGGGTTCAGGAAGGAATCAAAGGTGTGGTAGCTGGAGGCTGTCAGCCAGGTTCTTTCCAAGGGAGATGGAGCAGCCCAACTCCAGGTCCCCACACCTCCTGCTGACATCTCCACCCACAATTCAGCCGCTTCCCTCCCTCTTTATTAAGACTTTTCTTGTGAAATCACTAAAGACCTGCAAATCCCCAGGCCAGGATGAAGCCCACCATCTCCTTTCTCTGTGCCTGCAACTGTGCCTCTAAGCCTTGGCAATGGAAACGAAAGACACACCTTAGTAGTCACTGTAAATGGATCATTGTCACCTTCCAATGGACACACAACACTGCCCCTAACTCACAACACTCTCTAATAAGTATGTTCTTCTTCTCTTTGCAATGGCAACCTCATACCTTCTCTAAACTTCTCAAACCTCCCACCTCTCCTCCTCATCCCCAACCCCTACCTGGCCCTTCACTTGAGACTCCGGCTGCTTAATTATACTTACTTGAGAAAATGAAATCTATCAGTTTAGCACTCTCATTTCCCCATAACTGTAACCGCCCAATGGGTTCACCTTGCCCGCTGCCTAGACAGAGCCTATTTCCCAAGACAGGTGAATTGCAAAGAGAAAGAGTGATTCACACAGAGCCGGCTGTGCAGGAGACCAGAGTTTTGTTATTACTCAAATTAATCTCCCAGAGCATTCAGGCATCAGAGTTTTTAAGGACAACTTAGTAGGTGGGGGGAAACCAGTGAAGCCAGGAGTGCTGATTGGTCAGGTCAGAGGTGAAATCAGGGGAAGTTGAGGCTGTCCTCTTGTGCTGAGTCAGTTCCTGGATGGGGGCCACAAGATCAGATGAGCCAGTTTATCAATCTGGGTGGTGCAAGTTGATCCATCAAGTGCAGGGTCTGGAAAATATCTCAAGCACTGATCTTAGGAGCAGTTGAGGGAGGGTCAGACTCTTGTAGTCTCCAGCTACATAACACCTAAACCATAATTTATAATCTTGTGGCTCATTTTTTGGTCCTATAAAGGCAGTCTAGTCCCCAGGCAAGAAGGAGGTTTGTTTTGGGTAAAGGCTGTTATCGTCTTTATTTTAAACTATAAACTAAGTTCCTCCCAAAGTTAGTTCAGCATACGTCCAGGAAGGAGCAAGGACAACTTAAAAGTTTAGAACCAAGATGGAGTCGGTTACGTTAGATCTCTTTCACTGTCTCAGTCATAATTTTCCAAAGGCAGTTTCATAACTAATTTACAAAGCTCCCCCGGCCTGTCCCTTTCTTATTTCTTCTTCCTGACAAAATGAAGGGGGCATTGCTTCTCCTAGCAATGGCCAGTCCCTGTCATGGCTCAGGGCCAGGTCTTCATAAGGATGTAACCAAATCCAGGTTGAAAACCAAACGTTGAGAGACAAGAGTTGGGAGGAAAAGCATGTTTATTGGAGAACCAGCAAACTGAGAAGATGGTGGGTTAGTGTCCTAAAATACTGTCTCAAGTCAGTACAAATTCCAGGCTTTTTTTAATGTTAAGGTCAGGAGGAACAGGAGGGCCTTGGTATCAAGATGTAACCGATGATTGTCGACAACTCTGCACCAGCAAGGGTCTGAAGAAGTTGGGAATTTCTTTGTCTTTGGTCAGGTCACAACGCTCCAATAAATCTTTAACCAAACATAGTTGTTTGCAGACTTCTCCTTTAATCCTAGAATTAGTTTTTAAAACTACATGATTGCTGTTTTGCATATCATCTCAGTACCCTAAAATTACCCCAGCCTATGTGCAGGGATGGGTAAAGGATCCTTAAACAAAAATGGAGCTAGTTATGTTAGTTCTTTCGCTGTTTCACTGTTACAGGGACTTTCCTTCCCTGGTGATGATTCTCATGCTGATGACAAGGATGATTCTCTCTCTCGTCTCTCTCTCAGCTGCTGGTGCATTTTCATCAGTACACAGCACCACTTTGGTACCTCCCAACCTATAAGACCCTCCCCCAATTCCGCATCCCCCTTCAGCCACTGCTTCATCTCCTTGTTCCTTTTTATAGCCTGACTTGTTGAAATAATTTTCTACACACTTTGCCTCCACTTTTTCCAGCTTCCATGCATCCTTGATCACACTCTGTTCTGGCTTCTGGCCCTACTCACACCTAAAGAGGCCAACAACCTTCATCAACCTCTTAACCCTTTCTCCTCACCTCTGACTCTACACTTCACACTTCTCTCCCAGGCTTGCCTCCATCACTGAGATCACACACTGCTTTCCCTCTGTGATGCACTCTGCCTCCTGCCCTCTCTTTCTCAGTCTCTTATGCAGGCAAATCCTCCACTACCAGCCCTCAGGGCTCCATCCCTGCCACCTTCTTCCCTCTAAATTTTCTTTTCCATGTGATTGCTTCTATTCCTTAGGCTTTAAATACCAATCCAAATATTGATGCCCCCCAAATGTCTATCTGTAGCTCAGCCCTCACTTCTGAGTAATCTTTAGTACCTCCTGCTTCTCTGACACTCATGACCAAAGTGCCTTTAAAGCTGCTATTTCTGCCTTTAAAATGTATCTCACATATCTGTGCGTGACTTAGCGTCTCATGGCCACAGCATTAGTGCACAGCACCATCAGATTGCTACTAGATCACATCTTTAACCTTCTGGATTCAATGATACACAAACTGCTGCCCATTAGAATCACATGAGAAGCTTTTACAAATTCCAGGCCACACCCAGACCAATTAAATCAGAATCCCTGGGAATAGGGGAAACTGAGACATCAGTATTATCTTACACACTCCAAGGGGTTTCAATCTGCAGCCAAGTTTGGGAGCCCAGGTTCTGACTGGGCATCCACTTGTGCCCGCTTCTGTCCATTCTCCAAAAGAGCCAAAGGGAGGATTTTTAAATGGAAACTGGCCAAGCACAGTGACTCACATCTGTAATCCCAGCACTTTAGGAGGCCAAGGCAAGAGGAGCACTTGAGGCTAGGAGTTTGAGACCAACCTGGGTGACATAGCAATATCTTATCTCCATAAAATTTTTTTAAAAAGTTAGCCAAGCATGTTGGCATGTTTTTCACAGTTCTGGAGGCTGGCAAGTCCAAAATCAAGGTGCCAGCCAATTCAGCTTCTGGTGAGGGTTCTCTTCCTGACTTGCAGACAGCCACTTACTGACTGTGTCCTAAATGGTGGAGAGAGAAGATCTCTTACTATTTCTCTTCTTATAAAGCCACTAATATAAAGACCTACCTCACGACTTTATCTAGCTCTCATTACCACCAGAAGGTCTCATCTCCAAATCATCACACTGGTAAGGGCTTCAACATATGAATTTTGGAGGGACATGGTTTAGTCCATATTTCCTGAAAAACTTGGACTCTTCCTGATTCTGCTTTAAGATAATCTCTTAAACTATTATTTGCTGCCTCCCATTGGGTTCTGCCCCTGTGCCCCCATAGCTTTCCGTAGTTCTTGTGCATTCTTCTCTTAGAGCATTCATCAAACTCTGTGGTCATTATCTGCTACCCTATCCATCCCTCTCATGGAACTGGGAACCCACGATGACTGGGACCAAATTGTGTTCGGCTGTTAATAATTTCTGACATTTTAGGAATGATTGACTAGTAGATGCTTATAAGTAAGTGTTTCTGTTGCAATCAGAAAGGAGAGGAAAAAGGGATAGGGGGAAGTAGAAAACAGAGAATGAGAAAAGGCATTGAACTCCACCTCTAATAGGCAGTTCAGGGACCCCAGTCCTGTAAGTCACACAAAAGGAGGCAGCAGCAGGAATAAGGTAGGTCATATACTCCTTCATAGCCAGGGCAGGTAAGGCACTGAGTACAGTCTGTATTTCTTATCTAAGTGCCCAACAACTACCTTGGACAAGTTACTCTATTCCTCCGTCCCTATGTTCTCTCATCTGTAAAACAGAGATAAGAAAAGCACCAACTCACGTGGTTATTTGGAGGCTTAAAAAAAATAATGCATCTAAAGTGCCTGATACATCATCATTCACTGAATATGGCAAATAAAATAAATATGTGCATATACTGTGCATATCACTTAGCTAGATTTTTGAAATGGCATTTTCAATGCCTGATAAGGTCGAAATTTTATTAACTAGCTATGATTTAGAAACGTATGCTGCGAAGTTCTTGTGGGAAAAAAAGGTTTTAAGTCAACAATAAAAGTCAAATATTAGGAAAAGAGCAAAGAAGAAAACTAATATTGAAAGCTGCTTCTTTCAACAAGTTGACCTTTCCTCCTGTACATATTTTCCTCTATTAGAGCTGAGATAATGGAGTTATTCCTAAGCTTTGCCTTCCCTCTCCCCTGCCCCTTGTCTGTCGAGGAAAGGTTATGCCCAGCAGATGTTTGTTTCAATAAACACCGCATTAAGCCTCCTAGGCAGCCAGGATGGCACAGATGGTCTTCTCAAACTATTTATGTGCTCTTTCTCGATGCGTGATTTTTTCCTTTACAATGATGACTTGGGTGTTAGAGAGATTGACAGCAGCACAGTCCTTGTGACAGGAAGCCCATGATTCTCACTAACATAGATCAGCAGCCAGGCACCCAACACACAGCCTGGGCCTCACCTTGGTCACCTGTGGGTAGCACTGAAATATCACCTCCCTGAGAAACGAGTGGGAATATTGACCATCTACTCACTGCACTCAGTGAGAGGCCCCTAAAAATGGCCAGGGGGCTGCGAATGAAGCCCTCTGAATTCCTGGTTCTGCAGCTCTGTTGATTCACAGATCCTGGAAATAGGGGGAAAGCCTTCCAGGGCTCAGGAAGAGGGCCAAAGGTCCAGGAGGGCATGCATGAGTCAAGAGGAGGTCCATTTTTTCGGTAGCTTCACCCTGAGCCCCTAGACCAGCAGCTCCTCAGACCAGTTTCTTTCACCGATCACTGACCTGTGCTTAAAGGGACAGCTCCACAGAGGACTACAGGCATGTGCCACCATGCCCGGCTAATTTTTTTTTTTTATAGTGACAGGGTTTTGCCATGTTGCCCAGGCTGTTCTCCAACTTCTAGGCTTAAGTGATTCTCCTGCCTTGGCCTCCCAAAGTGCTGGCACTACAGGCGTCAGCCACCGTACCAAGCCACGTTGTCCATTTTCTAATTGATTTTTGTTTTTTGTTTTTTGTTTTTTTTGCTATTGAGGTGTATGAGTTCCTTACATATTTTGGATATTAACCCCTTATTGGATATAGGGTTCACAAATATTTTCTCCCGGTCCGCAGGATGCATTTTCATTTTGTGGATGGTCTCCTTTGATGTTCATAAGGTTTTTTTAGTTTGATATAGTCATATTTGTTTTCTTTTGCTTTTGTTGCCTGTTCTTTTCATGTGATATCAAAAAAAATCATTGCTAAGGCCATTGTCAAAGAGCTTTCCCTATGGTTTCTTCTATGATTTTTATAGTTTCACATATCAGTCTTTAACTCATTTAGAGTTGATTTTCATGCGTGGCGTAAAATACAGGTCCAATTTTATTCTTTTTCATGTGAATATTCAGTTTTTCTCGGCACCATTTATTGAAGAGACATCCTTTAGCCGCAGTGTGTTCTTGGCACTTCTTCATCTTCTTATAAGGGCACAGCCCTACCCGGTTATGGCCCCACCCTCACAACCTCATTTAACCTTAATTACCTCCCAAACACCTCATCTCCAAACACCATCACATTAAGAATTAGGGCTTCAAAGTACGAATCTGGGGAGAATGTAAACATTCAGTCCATAACAGGCATGCTGCATTTCCCCCGGTTAGGTGCTTTTTTCCCTGGATGGGTAATCCCCTACGCGTGCAGCAGGGATGATCTTCTCTGACTAGCTCATTCATGATACTCAACTGTTAGACATATTTTCTTGACACGGAGAGTTTCTTAGATTTCGTTCGCAGGCCTTTGCTTTGAAATCTCTCTCGTCTGGTTTCTGTGGTTTCTGTCTTGTCAGCTCATCCCTTCAATCTCTCTCTCTACTTAGCCCCTCTACAAGGGCAGCGTGTTCAGCATTTGATTTAGCTTCTTCCAGATGCTGCCTCTTGAGCAGGTCCTTTCCCTCTGTGCTCTGCAGCCTGAGGATAACTCGTACAGCCCTAGGCTGTGTCTACCACTGGCTTGGTTGAGGACCTTGACAGTCAAGAGAGCTGGGGCCTGCAGGAAGTAGGACATGGAATGGATTGAATAGTGATCGACAGAAGGGAGATAGGAAAAGATGTGAGCTTTGTCTTAGGCCTGTAATATAGAGAGATAAAGGCAGATATAAGGAAATTTGATTACATAATAAAAATAAGGAGACATAAAATAAAACAGACTTTTATAGCTGTCTCCCCACGTTGAGTTCAGGAGTGCTCAGAGACTTGGATCCCCTCCCATCAGGGAGGGAATGCACATTGCCATTTTACAGATGACCATAAAGGACAGGGAAGAAGGGAAGGCACTCTTCCTCTTGGAGTCAGGCCCCTGTCTTAAGGGAGATAGCCCATGCCGGAGAGAGCCCTGCATGCAGTCAGTGCAAGGAGAGGTGCTCCTTTGCACACACCGAGTTTGCCTTAAGTGAAGCTTTTCCCAGCCCATGTGTTTTCTCCAGCCCTGCCCTCTGTTCGCTCAGGTCAGTGCCTCACCGCCACACTGTCTCTGCTTCACTTAGAGTCCTGGGAATTCATGGATCCAGAACATGCTGAGAAACGCCTGGAATTTGCATGAAATTTATTCAAGTACCTCTTTATCTGCGGCAGTTGATGATCAGGCAGCCTAACCTATCTCACAGAGAAGCAGCAGGCAGGTTGGATGTCAACAAGCAAGTCCTAGAGACACACAGTGCACACCAACGTGGGCATGCACACTCACAGTGTCAGTGAATCCAGTCATGCTCTTTGCCTCCTCAATGGTTTTAGCCTTGTGCTCTCCCCACTCACACCTCTGCGTGTCTATGCAAGAGTGAGCTACTGAATGCACTACAGCAGTACTGCTGATTTTAAGATATTTCCCTGCAGATGAGAGGGTGGTCTTATATGAGGAAGAAGTGCCAAGAACACACAATGAGGAAAGGATAGTCTCCTCAGTAAACAGTGCTGAGAAAACTGGATATTCACATGCAAAAGAATGAAATTGGATACTTATCTTACACCACTGACGTGCTGATAAACAGCAATTCTTTCTCTCTCCTTGTTTCTCATGCTGATAACCACTCCTGTGCTCCTCCCATTTTCTTAGTATAACAAGCATAATTCAGCTTCTCAAATGTGGAGAGGAACATGGTGTGGAGAGGGGGATAGAGAACATTTTATTCTTAATACGTGAATACTGGAACCTCATTTTATATATCCCAAGATTCTGATTATAGGATTCTTCTTGGAGGTAAGACAATGGTTTCCAAATTAAGGACTGTGCAATGTAGTTCACTTGGATGAGAAACTGATGGAGATAACAGGTACTTAAAGAAATCAAGGAAAGCTAAGACCGAGAAACAAATAAGAGCCTCATTCACTAATCATTTCTACTCATTCACTTACTCATTACCTAAATACTAGAGGAGGACCAGGCTAGACATTCATGACGCACATGCAAATATATTTATGCTCCCATGTGCTTACAGCACGCTTCTGCCAAGGAGCTAGAGCTACTGCTGACAGCCTATGGCCAACTTACAGTCTGAGGACTGATCAGTTGATCGTCTCCCTTGCATGGCTGCTAGGTGCAAAAGCGATGGCCTCAAGGGTCAGTATCTGCTCTGCTGTCCTTTCCCCCTGTTCAGCAGAACATAGGTCCTGTAGAGCCCTGGTAGCATCACAAATCAAGATATCCCTGAGGACCCAGCTCCAGAGCTGACACCCCCCTGGAAATTAAGCGTCCTGCCCATGAGGAACTGCCCACCTCTGGGAAGACCCAGGACCCTGAGTGCACAACCCAAAGGGCAGGCACGCAGAGGCATCCAGGATGCAGGGGTCTAAGCCTCAAGGAAAGGGGTTATAACCAAGAGATGGTTTATTAAATTCAACCTTTTAATTCAGCTTTGTGTAAGAAATGAAACTCCCCAGGCAGCCATGCTTTGAACTGTGTTCAGTTCGTGTCGGGAACGGAGCTCTTCCCCCGCCGGCACACAGGCCAGAGCAGCCCAGGCGGGAGCAAGGAGGCAGGAGAAGACCAGGTACCAGGCATCCAGATGGCTGGGGATGCTGCTGGGAGGCGCCGGGGACTCCTGGGAGACGGTGGGCACCTGGCGGTAGTCAGAGCATTGCTGTACTGGGCACCTGTGAGACATCCCAGGCGTTGGAGGAGTAAGAAGCGCCCGCGGTCCTTCCCGCGGCGAGATCGCAGCGCATGTTCCACGTGAGCGTCGGCGCAGAGCTCCGGGTCATGGGAGGCCAGGGGGCTCGGGGACCAGAACGCAGGCCTCCGGCTCCCGCTGCCCTGTGCAGCCTGCCATCGTTGGCAGTGCCAAGGGACAGCGCATTTGGCTGGACGGAAATGGGGCCGACCTAGTTTGTGAAGCAGAGGAAACAGCTGCTGGGGTCCCAGGACCGTGCTGAAAAGCTCACTTGAAATAGCTACGACTTGAGAGTGAGAAAGCACGAAGGAAGGAAGGAAGGAAGGAAGGAAGGAAGGAAGGAAGGAAGGAAGGAAGGAGGGAGGGAGGGAGGAAGGTCCGGTTTCTCCCGCAGATCACTTTCCCTGAACATCTGCACCCTTGCCCTAGAGGTCTTCCCCTGGCTGGTTTAGGGGTGAAAGGAACAGAAGGGAGGGAGCCTCTGAGTGAGTCACAGTGACGGGAACAACTGGCTCCTCCCATCCCCCACCGTCCTTGTCCACCCCTCCCCACTGTAGCATGTGATCTTCTCTCTCTCCTCCCCATCCCACCCCCTCCCCACCACACAGACACACACAGACACACACAGACACACACACACACACACACACACACACACACACACGTGATGTCCTGTCATAATTCAGAAGGCGGATGACTCCCCAGGCCGCTAATTGGATGGGCATTTGGGCAGTGGCTCCCCGTCTATTCTGAGCTTTGTGCTGTGCACTAATTAAAACCATCAGCGTTGAGTCTTTGCTTTATAAGCATTGGCTTCTCTGCGACGTCTATTTGAGAAGATGCATCATCTTCTAGCATGCAAAATAGGCTAACCCCTGTTGATGCATGAAGAGAAACGCCATTCTTGTGCTTTTAGAAAAAGAATGTGGTTGTTTTTTGTGGGCAGTTACCTCCCTAGCACCTTGGACTTCAATGCGACTTAGTGATTGACACAAGCCCCATGGGCTACCATTTTGAGGGCGGTTGCGGCCGAGCTCTTTGTGTCGGGCTGGGGCTCCCTGATCCTCTAGACCACGGGAGCACAGGTAAGGGGGCCCAAGAAGGTAAAAGGGACCCAACTGGGTCCCTTTTTACATATATGTATGTACATATATATACACACATACGCATGTATACAGAGAGAGAGAGTAAGAAAGAGACAGAAAATTCTAAGGAATTGTCCCGCAACATTGTGGGGGCTGGCAAGTGTGTAATCCACAGCATGGGCTGGCCGACTGGGACATTCACCAGGAGTTGACATTGCAGTCTTGAGCCCCGTCCCAGGACAGTCTGGAAGCAGACGTTCTTCCCTCTCTGAGGTTTTCGGGTTGGGTTAGGCTCACATTATGGAGGGTGATCTGCTTTACTCAAAGTCTACTGATTTTTATTCAGATCCAATGAATACCTTCACAGCAACATGGAGACTGTAGTTTGATCAGATATCTGGATACCATGGTCTGGCCAAGGTGACCCATAAAATTCACCATCACACATATCTCAGCTAACCAACTGCTCATACCATTCAACAGAATTATTGGTTTTCCGAGTTTCTGTTGGATCCTCACTCTTCTGAGGAAGAAGCAAAGCATTCATGATAACAGCAGAGTGGGAGCCTCAAGTTTAACTTGATTCTCGCTTCTGTAATCCCAGCACTTTGGGAGGCTGAGGCAGCAGATCACCTGAGGTCAGGAGTTCGGTACCAGCCTGGCCAACATGGCGAAACCCTGCCTCTACTGAAAATACAAAAGTTAGCCAGGCATGGTGGTGTGCACCTATAATCCCAGCTACTCAGGAGGCTGAGGCATGAGAATCGCTTGAACCCAGGAGGCGGAGGTTGCAGTGAGCTGAGATCGTGCCAGTGCACTCCAGCCGGGGCAACAGAGCGAGACACTCTCTGAAAAAAAAAAAAAGCTTAACTTGATGAATAGACCAGCCATAGTTTAAGCAGCAGGAGCTATAGGCTAAGCCACACGAGGTCCCTGCAGGAGGGGACACCCCCCCCAACACACACCAGGAGAAGCAAAAAGGTCTTATTCCATCCCATCTTCCTTAGAATCACTGGCAGAGAAAGGGGTGCCTGTCACCCACCTGGGGTAACATCTGCCCACTGGTTTTCTTTTTCATGAACTTTGGGGAAGGATTAAAAACCCAGAAATGTCCTACTTATCAACATAGCTTTACCTTTTCTTTCATTGGTTATATCAATAGCTCTAATGCCAGTTAAACAATGTGAGACTGTTTGGGGCTTCAGTTCTTCAGAATGTCAAAAATCTCACAGCAATATGGATGGTTTGTACAGTCTGTTCAATTTAACAAACACTTACTGGGCAGCTAATATATCAGACATTGTGCTAGGTAGCATGAGAGATCCAGAAATGAATCAAAGTCTCTGCCACCCAGGCATCTGCCTTCTCTGAAACAACTCACAGATGAGGATGAGAGCACAAGTAGTTCTAGAGTCTGTTGGGTTAGATCATTCTCCCAAGCACTCCTCAGACCCTTGAACAGTCTCCCAGCCCATGCAGCAAAAGGCAAAATCTTCATAGTGACTGCAAGGGCCTATTTAACCCCTCAAGCCTCTTTCATCTCCCTGACCTGCTCTCCTTCCCTGTCCTCCTGCCCCACTCTGCCCCAGCCACAGTGGCCTCCTGTGCACATCAGTGGCCAGCTTACTCCCACAACTGTGGTCTCAACACTTGCTAAACCTTTGTTGGGATTGCTTTTTCTACAAGAGCACACATGCAGGAAGTGACAAATCCACTGCTTTTCCCTATAATTTTTTTGAAGCATTTCTTCCGCATCTTCTTAAAAGGATGGCTAAGAAGTCAAAATAGTTGCCTATTCTTAGGCGCAAATGGTGCTTTCAAAGAGGCTTACATAGCTTTCCTTATCTGGTAGCTGCACAGCACTCCTGTGATGCGGGTTTCCTTATTAATGTATTCTGCATGCCCCTTGTATTTATTATCAATTGCTATGTAACAAATTACCACAAATTTAGCAGCTTTGAACAACACACATGTATTGTCTCCCAGTTTCTGGGAATCAAAAATCTGGATATGGACTGAGTCTTCTGCCGCAGGGTCTCGCAGCTGCAATCAAGGTGATGGTCAGGCTGTGTTCTCATCTGGAGGCTCAACGAGAGAAGCAGCTGCTTCCAGGCTCACTCGGGTTGTTGGAAGACTGTCTTTCACTGTAGCTGTAAGACTGAGAGCTTCCGATGTCTTGCTGGCTGCCAGCTGGAGGCTGCCCTCAGTTCCCTGCCACATGGCCCTCTCCATAGGCACTCCACAATGTGGCAGCTTGCCTCCTCAAACCCAGCACAAGAGTCAGAGTGATTTGCTAGGATGACAGTCTTATATATGTTATGTAATGAAGTCATACAGTCATCACCCTTGCTATATTCCATCAGTTAGAAGCAAGTCACAGGGACTCCCCAACACACACTCAAGAGGTGGGGATTACACTCAGGTGAAACTATCAGGAGGGAGGATCATGGGGACCACCTTAGAGGCTGCCCCTTTTGCTTCTAACTCACCCCAGCCTAAATTATCATCCCAAACTAATGGACAGAAGACTCCAAAGAGTGAATATTTACCCTATTTGATTTATTTTGGCCATAGCGTGAGCCTTCACAGATTTTCCCAAAACCCTTAGAAAGTGCTGATTTGCAAAGACACTCAGTGCTGGGAGGAGCATGTCCATGAAGAAGACAGGGGTTCTCTGTGTTTTCCTACAGGAAATGTGGCCTGGAAGGGCTGGAACTAGCACTTAACCAAGAAGTAGTTTTAGAGACCAAATAATACGTCACTGCTGCTCCCGGAGGCTTCTAAATCCATATTTGAAGTCATTAGCTCCACATGTCTCAGGGAGAGGCTTCCTGGGCAGTCGGGGCCCTGGGAGCCAACAATTCAGAGTCAAGGCCAGACCAGTTTCCAAACCCCAACCCGGTTATGTTTTCTGCCATAGCTGAAGAGCAGAAAGCCCAGAGCAACAAGAAGCAGGGATGGTGACAGGCAACGCAAATAACCCTTAAGCATAGATAGAAAAATCTGCACTTCAATGGCAGGCTGTTGTTTACCAGTTTATTGCACTTGACCTGAGAGCTCTGAAATGTCCCTCTCATGACAAATGTCTTAGCACTGTGCAAATGAAAAAAAGGACTCAAGAAAAACAACTTCAGCTCACATTCTTTAAATACTCCAGCCTTCCAGTGGCCACAGTTTTACAGCCTGGCTAAAAGGTGATCCTTCTGAAAACTTAATCGCTACGACAAGAGCTTTTCTTCTTCGTTTATAATAAATTGTGAATTTTTAAAAGACAACATGCTGAGCTTTAATTTTAAATGGAGGCACCCTGGAGGTGGTAGAAACACAGCCGCCTTTGACTTTCTATTTGGCTTTGCAGCAGAGAGGCCTTGTGGGCTGCCAAAGTGGGTGTTATTGCCTTCAACCTGCCAAAATCACAGCACAGTCCTTCAAGGGGAGGAGGGGAAAGCCAAGGAGCAGAGAGGACAGAGGGTGGGTTCCTGGTGCCACACACCTGTGGGGAACCCAGCCCACCTCCACCAAGTGGTGGAAGAAGAATTTCAGTGTTTTCATCAAGGAAGAGGCTCCAGGAAAAAATGGAGAGCATGAACATTGTGCAGCTCCAGGACCAGAATTTATGTCCTGTCTCCACATTTTACTCTTTGAATGGCTTTGGGCAAGAAGCCCACCTTCACCGTCCTCATCTGTGAAATGGAAATAATACCTACTCCATCCACCAGACAGGCCCAATAAGGACCATTGGTATTAACTGCTTTGTAATGTAGGATATAATAAATTCCTCTTCAAAGGTTTTAGCCTATAAATTGTTAAGTACAATGAGTTCTGAGATCCTCTCCAAGGAACCAATGTATCCGTATGTTCAGCTCCCCTGTCCTTTGTTCTTCATTTTAAAGTTTAACTTCCTTGTTCTCTTTATCTCTTTGCCCCTAGTTTCAGTAAACAACCCCTCCCCCCACCACAGCCCCTATCACCTGCTCTGTCTTGAGTCACCCCTGGTCACCTGCTCTGTCCTGAGTCACCTCTGGTCACCTGCTCTGACCTGAGTCATCCTGAGTCACCCTGAGTCACCTGTTGTGCCAAACTACTCACCCTGCCACTCCAACTCATACCCCTGCTCTCTTTAAAATAGCCAATCGGAATTAGCTTAGACTGTGAAGTCCAACCCTAGCCAATAGGGGAACAACACAGCAGTAGAGGCTACCTGCATCAGGAATAAAAACCCCCTCCCCTCCTTTGTTCAGGTGTGCTCTCACCATTGCCCCATCCATGAGTTACACCCTTCCACAGAAGTAAAATTTGCCTTGCTGAGGAAATTAAATTTATGTTTGAGTGCTATTTCTTTTGCAGCACTGAAAATTTATTTCTAACAGTAGCCTCTAATGCATTTCACAAATAGAAGGTAATATTACCACTATTGGATTAGAGTTTTCCCCTCATTTCCTCCATTTTCCTTGTTTCTTCCATTTTCTATAAGGATTTTTTAAAAACAGTCTTAAGCAAAGTCTTCATAAGATTTGGGAAGTCAGACCTCACATCACTGGGATACTGGTCAGAGGACAGCCCTTGGATGTCTTCTAGAGTCTCCATTCCCTCCTTCGCATGAGTCCTTTCTGTGATTAGGGTATGGCAGCAACAACCAAGATGGGGGCTCTGAAAGGAGGGCAAGGGTTCAGGGGAGGAGAGCATGGCCCCACATGGAATGCTGCCCTTGGTCACCCCAGCCCTCTCTCAATTTCCCTCACAACCCACCATCAGGAGCCTCAGAGTAGGCCAGCGTTTGAAACAAGTTTTCAGTGCCGCAAAAGAAACAGCACTCAAACAGAAATTTTTTTCTCAGCAAGGCAAATTTACTTCTGCAGAAGGGTGCAGCTGGCGCCAGACATGATCACAAGAGCACACTGAGTAGGGTGGGGCAGGAGTTTTTATCCCTAATGCAGCAGCTTCTGTAGCTGTGTCCTTTCCCCATTGGCTGGAGTTGGACTGCACAATCTAAGCTGAGACCTGACTGGCTACTGTTTAAAATTGAACAGGGCTAACTAGGCAGGAAGGGAGAGGCTGTCCCTTACAATTTTAGGGTGCAGTAAAGGCAGAAAGGATAGTTGCAGAGTAGGGAATAGATGTGAGTTATAGATTAGGACTGATGGGAAGATTGTTTACCATAATTAGAGGCAAGGGGGCATAAAGAACGAGGAAGTTACTCTTTGAAAATAGAGAACAAAGAACAAGGAAGCTGAACAAGCTGACTCTTCTTTGAAGAGGAACCCACCGTACCCAACACCAGAAAGACTATAACCTTGGTGAGCAATTTTAAAAACTGGAGTAGTTTGCTAGGGTTACTTTAACAAAGTACCATAGACTGGGGGCTTAAATGACAGAAATTTATTTCCTCACAGCTTTGAAGGCTGGGAGTCCAAGATCCAGGTGTCAGCAGTGTTGGTATCTCCTGTGGCCACTCTCCTGGGCTTGCAGACGGCGTCTTCTCCCTGTGTCCCCACATGACCACCCTTCTCCACCTTAGCATCCCCGGTGTCTCTGTGTGTCCGGATGTCCTTTTCTCATGAGGTGAGGACACAGTCAGATTGGATTAGGGCCCACCCTAATGGACCTGTTTAAAGGCCCTGTCTCCAAGTACAGCCACATTCTGAGATACTGGGAGTTAGGGCTTCAAGATACAAATTTTAGAGAGGCCCACTCCAGCCCATCACAAAGACATAAGGGTGGGGGCCCCATAATGAAGACAGAGTTGGGTGGGGAGTAATGACACATGAATATGCCCCTTTTGTCATCCTTTTAAAAAGTTGTAGAAGGAATAAGTTAGGTCACATATGTAAAAGTTCAATAAAAGGCCATCGAATAAGAATTGGAACTCTAGAAAATCTCCCAGGTTGTCTTTGTTGACAAACTGGTTTCTCTTTCTCTTCTTTCTACTATTATAACCCCAGGGAAGTGAACTTGACATGGTTTAGCAACCAAATAAAGCCATACGTCACTGCTGCTCTTTGAAGATAATGAAATCTGGCATCGAGATCTTTATCTTTGCAGGAACCAAAGGCCAGAGACTTCTCAGCAAACACAAGTGGGTGTCTAGTATCTGGGGCAAAGGACCGTGAGGCTGGAGAGAGAAACAGAAGGGAAGAAGGGTCCCTTACTGGCTGTCACAGGAAGCTGTGGGATGCAGACACATCCAGGGAAAGGCAGAGGCTGCCTCCAAGGCTACATGACCTGCAGGCAGCCCCGGACCCCCTGGGGAGGACTCAGGTCTCCACTGAAGGGACAGCCGAACAGAGGGAAATGGAAGTAGAGCCGTGGGGACTCCTGGGAGGGGGAAGAAGGCATAGGAGGGGAGAGTGACCAGGGAGACAAGCCCCTCAAGGTCAGAGAGGGAAGCCAGTGGGTCCCCGAGGGTGGGGTCGTGCAGTGAAATGTACTGTAGGAGGTGGGAGCAGGTGTTGGGAGCACGTGAAAGTCACAGCCAGCCTCAGGCAGCACCACTCAAGTCTATCTCAGTTGCTTATCTGGTCCAGAGAGGTTGAAAGGATGGGAAAGCTTCAAGACTGGATTCTTCGCATCTGCTCTATGACAGAGAAGGTTAGGACCAGAAAGTGGCCTCTGCAAACACAGCCATTTATATGTTTGGACTACTGTGTTTGCTTTGATTTTCCAGTTTCCTAAATAAGAAAGGCTGCTGCTTAAGAGTCCAGTCTGATCTCAACTAAGGGGAAAAGACATTTGTTTCATTTCCATTAAGGGTGGGATGTGGAGAGGGATCAGTCCCTCTTTGGTGACACCCTAAGGCAGGTCCTGGGCATCCAATCAGCTCCTGAGCCAAGAGGGTCAGTAGAACTAGATGCCAGGATCCCAGAGCAGACACCAGAAACCAAGGGCTTCTGGGGCAATCAACCCCCACCTGCTGCCTGAAAGGCTTCCTTTGCCCACTACTTTCCAGGACCAGAGAGAGAAGCATCCCTGCTGATGAGAAAGAACAGACACTCCCAGAGGACAAGGTCCACCTGTCAGGCAGCCACAGCCCAGCATACTCTGGAGTCTGAGGTGGGGGTCAGTTGTGAAGAAAGGGAAGAAGGAAGAAAAAGGATACGTTGTGCTCCGACCACAGGCCAAGGTACAAAGAAGAGGGGAAAAGAAAATAGCTGGGCCCTGAGACTCATACCTGTAATCCCAGCACTTTGAGAGGCTGAAGCAGAAGGTTTGGTTGAGTCCAGAGTTTGAGACCAGCCTGGGCAACATAGTGAAACCGTGTTAAAAAATACAAAAATTAGCTGGGTGTGGTGGCATGCACCTGTAGTCCCAGCTACTCAGGAGGCCAAGGTGGGAGGATTGTTTGAGCACAGCAGGTTGAGGCTGCAGTGAACCATGATTGCACCACCGTACTCCAGCCTGGGAGACAGGGTGAGACACTGTCTCAATCAATCAATCAATCAATAAAAATAGAAGACTTACCTTGCCCACTAGGGAGGGGCTCACTAGTGAGAGAACCACAGGGTTCTCTTTCACTTACTAGGGAAATGGCTTCCCCAGAGAATGGTCTTTAATTTCAAATGAGTCCTACACAAATATGTTTTCAGGACCCCAGGATTGGCAGAACCCATGCACCCTCACAGGCACCCCAAAAGTCTCCCCCGGGGCCTACCTACAGTTGAGTTGTCAGATAAAATACAGGATGCCCAGTTAAATTAAATTTCAGATAAACAAGCAGTGGTATTTTCATATCAGTGTGTCTCATGCAATATGTGGGACATGGTAATGCTGTAAAAATTATTTATTGTTTATCTGAAATTCAGATTTCACTGGACATCCTCTATGCTTTCTTGTTAAATCTGGTAGCCACCAGCAGTTGTTGCTTTTCAAGCTATAAGAGATGGATTATGGCTTAACAGGCTGCCAGACAAGATGACATCACAGATGATTGGCTGGGTTACTGCAAGAGTTTCAGCCCTTCCTAGACATGTCCATACTTTTGACTGCCATTTATAAACATCTGATTCAACTGGTTTAACCAGAAGAACAGTTATTGTCCCTGTAACCAGGAATCCAGAGACAAGGCGAGCTCCAGATGCAATGTGATTGATAGTGAGTGTCACGGAGGACTTTCCATCTGTCCCTCTGTCATCCTCAGTATTGATTCCACCCCTGGGCTGAGGGCAAGTGGTGGCAGCAGGCACAGCGTCCCCTCCAGACACAGCTGTGTCATTGGCATGGCTTCTGAGATGTGGTGGAAGGACAGGACTAAGACACAAGAGCTATTCAGGATCCCACAGCATCCGGATGTCTTCGGACTTATGGCCAGTGAAGAACATGAAGAGAAGGGCAGAGCTGAGTCAGAGTCAGCATGTCAGCTGGAGGAAGTCATCTGACATTTTATGATGTGTATTCACATCTGAAGGGAACAATGGGAGTGAGTGCAGCAACCACGAAAACATGCCCCATGGAAACTGGCTGGTGCGTAGCAGTCATAAGCAGTGGGCATGGCACTGACATCCATTGTCCTTAGGTTATTTTCTTTTATTAAAGCATTCATTCTTTTTTTTTTTTTTTTTTTTTGAGAAGGAGTCTCACTCTGTTGCCAGGCTGGAGTGCAGTGGTGCGATCTCAGCTCACTGCAACCTCCGCCTCCCAGGTTCAAGCTATTCTCCTGCCTCAGCCTCCCCAGTAGCTGGGACTACAGGCGTGCGCCACCATGCCCAGCTAATTTTTGTATTTTTAGTAGAGACAGGGTTTCACCATGTTGACCAGGATGGTCTCGATCTCTTGACCTCATGATCCACTAGCCTCGGCCTCCCAAAGTGCTGGCATTACAGGCGTGAGCCACCGTGCCTGGCCCATTCTTTTTTTTAATTTTTTTTTTTTGAGACGGAGTCTTGCTCTGTCGCCCAGGCTGGAGTGCAGTGGTGCAATCTTGGCTCACTGCAAGCTCTGCCTCCTGGGTTCACGCCATTCTCCTGCCTCAGCCTCCCAAGTAGCTGGGACTACAGGCACGCGCCACCACACCTGGCTAATTTTTTTTTGTATTTTTAGTAAAGATGAGGTTTCACCATGTTAGCCAGGATGGTCTCGATCTCCTGACCTTGTGATCCACCCACCTTGGCCTCCCAAAGTGCTAGGATTACAGGCGTGAGCCACTGTGCCCGGCCTCTTTTTTTAAATTTTTAAAATTATTTTAAAATTTTTTCTGGGTACATAGTAGGTACATGAGTATGGGGTACATGAGATGTTTTGATACAGGCATGCAATGTGAAATAAGCACATCATGGGGAATGGGGTATCCATCCTCTCAAGTATTTATCCTTTGAGTTACAAACAATACAATTATACTCTTTAAGCTATTTAAAAATATACAATTATTATTGAGTATAGTCACCCAATTGTGCTATCAAATAGGTCTTATTCATTCATTAAATTGTTTTCTAAACTGTAGGATGATGCTTAAATAATGGACTGAAAGTATGGTTTTGCTCATCCCACCTCTGGGAAATTACCTGTTGCTGACAAATGCACCAGATACAAACCTCTCAGCAGTACTTTCCTCTCTGGCTTTCAAAGGAAAACACTCTGGTTGATTTATGAAAATACTTCTTTGCTGGTTCATCTCAGCCAATGAGACATCACATGAGCTTAACCCTCATTCTCTCTTTTATCTGAGTCTCTTTTATAAGTCACTTCCATAAAGCAGAAGACGATTTATCCAGGAACAAAACTACGTGAACAGGGTAGATGGTTTTCAAATGTCATTTAAAGACAGTTCTTTGAGAAATATTGCCAAAGGGGCCATATTTTAACACAGTAGGAGAAAATCAAGACAATACACACTGACAGTTGTATCCGCAGCCTTTTCTAGACTTTCCTAAAAATAAAACAACAAAAAAATATGGAAGGCCATGTCAGAGTTTTAAAATATCAAATGCCAAATCCAATTTTTCAGGTTCAATGTTTAATTTTCTATGAAATATGAGGACAGGGTTAACAAAGCTGATGGCAATCTAAAGAAAAAAAAAACGCCTTCTAATATTTTATCTTCTCTCCTACTAAGTAAATATCCCTCCAGGGAGCTCATATCTAGACTAGAGCCTATACTATAAAGGTGAAACCCTTGTGTGCATAAGTATTCTCATGAAATCCTTTTTCCCCAGCAGGTCAGAAGACGGTATTTACCAAGTCTCTTCCCAAAATACTTGCAAATGCACATAATCTCAAAGTGTTTTTGAGGGCTCTTCCGATCTAAAATTGGTCCTAGTGACAAGGGGTGTTTGGGGAAATCAAAGGGCTGGCTTAACTATGTAGACCTAGGTCTGGTCTTATTTCTGGCCCATACGATCATCATGACCTTGGACAAATGAAACTTCCTGGGCCTCAAGTTCCTTGTATCAGAAAGGATGGCATTCAGCTGCGTACAACAGAAAACCAAATCACAGTGGCTTATCCAAGAAAAGTTCAATTTTTCTCAAAACTACAGCGTCCTGGGCTGATGCGGCAGCCCCAGGACGACCTCAGCATCTCACTCCTCCTTTCTTTACTCGGCCCCATCCTCAGGCTGTGACTTTCATCCTCAGGTTTGTCATCTTTTGGTGGTAAGATGGTTGCTCTACCTCAAGCTCACAAAAAGAAATGGGGGAAAGCAGGAAAGAAGAAAATCTGCTTCCCCAGAGACTCTGAGGCTGCACTTGCACATCTTATGGATCCAAACTGTGTCCCATGGCTGCCCCTAGATGCAAGGGGCCTGGGGAAATGAGCGGATTCATCAGGTACACTGCAACCGTACATGAAAGGAAAGTTCTGTCAATAAAGAAGAGCGAAATCTACATTTGGTCAGGAAACAGCATTGCCTGCAATATGCCTCATATGAAATAAAGCCTTTCTTGCCCCCATTCTGCTACTCGGTCATTCTTGCACTCAACAAATAGATGTTGAGTGCCCACTCTCTCCAGGCCATGTTCTAGGTGCTGCGGATGCAATCCTGAATCTATGAACACGATTGGCAGAACAATAAATATTGATTGTCTTGGCCACTCACCAAATAAAGTGCTCCTGGGAAGGCTGAGATCTAATGCAAAGCAGCAGCTTGACTTTCTCACTCCCTGGCAACAATGCCAAGCAAGAGAAAGCGATGGGTAAGGCCTGGCTCAAGAGTCTCACTGCAACCTGCACTGTAGATTCTACCTGCTAATTTCCTCAGCCTTCTCTGGTTTTGGGCTTCAGAATGCCCTAACTCTGGGCCCGGCGCGGTGGCTCACGCCTGTAAACCCATCACTTTGGGAGGCCAAGGCGGGTGGATCACAAGATCAAGACCATCCTGGCCAACATGGTGAAACCCTGTCTCTACTGAAAATACAAAAATTAGCTGGGCATGGTGGCTTGTGCTTGTAATCCAGCTACTTGGAAGGCTGAGGCTGGAGGATCGCTTGAACCCAGAAGGCAGAGGTTGCAGTGAGCTGAGATCACACCACTGCACTCCAGCCTGGCAACAGAGTGAGACTCTGTCTCAAAAAAAAAAAAAAAAAAAAAAAGAATGCCCTAAGTCTACTCTGGACCATGAGCAAGGATAATCTGTCTTAGAGGAGAGAAGGTGAGGTTATGATTCCAGAGCATTTGGTGACCCAGGAAGTAGACCTGCCTCCTCCTATCTGTCCACAGAGCAGTCCTAGGGGCAATAGGCCATGAGAAGATCATGCCAGGCAGTCCATTTCTATATTACCATGTAAACAAAAACTCAGCTGTGAACCCTGGAACGTTCGTATTCTGCAGCTGCCAGTGTAAACTGGTACAGGCCTCTTGAAGAACAGTGGGGAAAGGCACTCTGAAAGCATCCACGCCTCCATACCTGCTGATCCAGGGCTCTGATTTTCCTTCTGGGAACCAAGCCTAGGAGAATGATTCAAGCTGCAGAAAACCTTTCTCCACTAAGATGTTTGCTGTGGCATTCAGTATAATAGCACACCAGAGAAACAATCTAAAGATTCATCAGTAGGAGAATATCTAAGTAAATTATGGTACATACACTCAATAAAATGTTATATGACTACTAATTATGGTGGTTACAAAGACTATCTCTTTAAGAAAAATGCTTCTGTGAATGGTTAAGTGAAAATTGCAAGATACGGGCTGGGTGCAGTGGCTCACACCGGGTGCAGAGTCTCACTCTGTTGCCCAGGCTGGAGTGCAGTGCTGCAATCTTGGCTCACTGCAACCTCCACCTCCCGGGTTCAAGCGATTATCCTGCCTCAGCCTCTGGAGTAGCTGGGAATACAGGTGCGTGCCACTGTGCCTGGCTAATTTTTGTATTTTTAGTAGAGACGAAGTTTCACCATGTTGGTCAAGCTGGTCTCGAACTCCTGACCTCATGATCTGCCCACCTTGGCCTCCCAAAGTGCTGGGATTACAGGCATGAGCCACTGCACCCAGCGATAATGCCTCTTCTGAATCTACCAAACTTGATAGGACTCACTCTTTTTAATCTACTCCTAGTACTTCTACAGAACTTAAGAAAGCTCTTGTCTCTGTACCTAGATTTCTATGTTCCAAGAAAACCATTTTCCCAAGTCAATCAGAATATTATGGCAACAGTCCAGATTTCAGGCCAAAAATGCCACCAATTTTCCCTGAATCTCTTGGGCAAGACAAGCAAAAGATTTCTTTTAGCCTGACAGCAGTTTTATTTTACAATGCATAACAGGTATTACCTGCTTTGCCCTTTCTCTTTCCATCAAAATTGCCTCAGTGAGGCTAGCCAATGCATTTGCGAGCAAAGTTGTTATTTCCAGTTTTACCAACTTGTCCCAACCTGTACAAGCAATCACACTGGAGAAAGGAAACTTGTACCACCAGAAGATGGAAATGAGTTCAACCCCAAACTGGGATCTGAGTCTGTGTATTTCAGATTATCCCTCAATTCTTCTCCCAACTTGGGTTGCAGAGTGATGGTTCCTGGAGGTTCCTCAGGACACTGCTCTAAGGAACCCCGACATCTAGTTATTTCATGAGTATTTCCAGAGCATTTGCCTGGTTTAGAGATCTGTGCTTAGCCTCCCATTATTGGGGACACAGGAAAAATTAAGCCCTGGCCTTCGAGGAGCTCACAGTTCAGCCAGGAAGGCAGCTGGCCACAATACACAACCTGCACACAAATAACACGAATAAAAGGCCTGGGGTGGGGCGCTGGCTGTGGACTGAGAAGAGACTTAATCTCAAGGTTTCAAGTTCAAACACAGGAAATAGAGCGTGGACAGGGCAGATTTGCAACCCCATTCTGGAGCTTGTGTCTTGTGTTCATGAGGTCTTCATGTCTAAACATCTAGGTTCTCAACTTTGGGAAACAGGGAGATGGACTTTTTGTTCTTGTTGAGTTAGGGCTCACTGTGTCACCTCGGCTGGAGTGCAGTGATGTGATCTCGGCTTACTGCAGCATCAACTTCCTGGGCTTAAGCAGTCCTCCCACCTCAGCCTCCTGAGTAGCTGGGACTACAGGCACGTGCCACCATACTGAGCTAATTTTTAAATTTTTTGTAAAGATGGGGTCTCGCTATGTTGCCCAGGCTGGTCTGGAACTCCTGGGCTCAAGCAATCCTCTCACCTCGGCCTTCCAAAGTGCTGGGATTACAGGTGTGAGCCACCATGCCAGGCCAAGGTAGACTTTTTGAGAATCAGATGAGTATTATGGAAACTTGTCCCAGAAAAGGTTCACATGATAGACACACAAATATTTGCAAATAATTGCAGAAAATTCATGGGCTGCATCCCTCCAAAATTATTCATAAACTTATAAACTTTCAAGAGTACACAGTAAGATTATAATAATTAATATTGAGCATTTTCTGTATTTCATGGTCTGACTTAACCTCCATGCATATGTTCTTTTCTTTAATCCTCACAACAAAACTATGGCATACAAAGCATTGCTTCCATGGTACAGCTGGGGAAACAGAGGCTCAGAGAAGTTACTCACCCCAAACTCATAGAAAGTGGGTGGATTCATGTCAAGTCAAGCAGCCAAGTCTGTGCTGTTTCAAATAACAGCTGAATGAAGTGGGTCCCATTCATCACCCTACCACCACTATTTTAAAGATGAGGAAACAAAGGCCTTGGGTGGTGAAATAACTTGTCTGAGGTCATGTGGACCACAAATGAAGAGCCTTTGACACAGAGGAAGACAGAAGGTAGATAGATGCTTTGAAATCCCAAATGAAACACATTTGTGTGGAAGGTTCTTGAAGCAAAATCCTTCGAGCCTGGCTTGCCCCTGGGGTAGTTGTTTCTGTCTGGTGGGGTGCAAGGTAAGGCTATAATCGGCATGACCTAGAGCATCTGAAAGATCAGGAAGGAGCCCAGAGCCCCAGCCAAGGTGAACGGGAGCTGGAGGAGACTCTCTGTGAGAGCCACATGCCATCCTGGAAGTTCTGAAGCCCAGGCCAGAGCTTGACACTCCAATCCAAACGGACAAAGGGGAAAGATGAGCAGTGACTCTCTGACATGTAGGAGATGACAGTGTGTCACTGGGTGGTCAATCTGCAGTATGCTGTTATCAACCATAACTTCAACCCCAGCACATGGGGAGGTCATTCATTCCTCCAGGGATGCAAAGAAGCTGGGACAAAATGAGAGAATCATCACTGGCCAGAACCAAGCATCTGCAACAGCTGTTTTCAGAAAGTCAACACTTTCTTCCACAAAGGGTGCAAGGCTTCAGTCATGAAAGATATGTAAGCTCTATAGATCTAGTGTGCAACGTAGGGCATATGATTAAAATACTCCATACTTAAAAATGTACTAAGAGGGTAGATCTGATAAGTACCCTTAGCACAAAAGGAAAACAAGACAAAATGAACAGAAAAACAAAGGTGGCAAGAGGAAACATTAGGAGGTGATGAATAAGATTACGGCATAGCTTGTGATGATGGTTTCATGGGTGTACACAGAGCTTCAAACACATCGGGTTGTATACACTACATTTCTACCGCTTTTGTATGTCAATCATATCTCAATAAAGTGGTTAAAAACAAAGAAACAAAACAAAACAGAAGCTAGTCACAAGGAACCACATATTAAATAATTCTGTTCATATGAAACATGCAGAAAACAAATCAATAGAGACAGAAAGTAGATGAGTGGTTGCCAAGGGCTTGGGATGAGATGGGGGACTGAAGAGTGATGACTGAAGGGCATAGGGTTTCTTTGGGGGCTTCCAAAAACTGTCTGAAATTGATTGTGGTGACAGTTGTATAATGCTGTGATTATACAAAAATTATTGAATTGTATACTTTAAGGGAATTGAATAGTGTGTAAATTATATTTCAATAAAGCTGTTTTTAACAAAATAAAACATTTCTAAATGCTTCACTTGGAAATGTTTTCAAGTCAGTGGCAATACTTCAGTCTCACCATATTTCAGAATGGCAGTGGTAGTGACCACCACACCTGCCAGGCTTGATGCCAAGGATGTTGGCTGTTTCCAAAAGTCAAGTTCATTTTCAGAGGATAAACACCTGCCAACAGTAAAGACAGTCGGAAAATGTGGCTCTGACAGCAAGAGGTTACTTCAGATAGGATCAATCAACAATGCTCTATTTTCACTTGTGTGTGAATCTCATTTCTCATATTAAATCTAAAGGAGACAGGATAGAGCGATGGTTAAATTATAAACTTTAATGGCAAAAATATCCCTGCCCGGCCATTTGCTAGTTATGTGACCTTGAATACATTCTTAACATGCTCTTACAGCCTCAAGTTTCATCCATTTTATGAAATGGATAATATTGATTATTTCAGAAGTGTTACTGGGAAGATTGAACAAAATTACGTGTACAGAGTTTGGCATAGGATAAGTCCTCAACAAAATAGTAGTTATTATTTTTACTCTAAACTTGTGAGGACAAGGACCTTCATGTCCTTAGAATATCCAGCTCAATGTCTAGACATTAAAGCATTTAATGAATAAAGATACCATTTTGAAATTGTATGGCACAATTTCTCCCACAAAAGGCTCTCCACTGATCTATCCATTTGAGCAACAATCCAACATACAACTAAGCAGATTTTTTTTTCCTCCAGGCCAAGGAAAACCATGTGACTCTCCTAGAATTATTCCTGAACCTGTTATGTGTGAGGGCTCTCTGTGCAGTTCAGAATTTACAATTATTTCTACTGAAAACAGAAATAAAACACATTTTTTCCTAGTAGCAGAAAGAACAGAGACACCCCATCTTGTCTCATTTTGATCTCATAAAATACATAGAAAAGAAAAACAAACAAAAACAAAACACTTCAACTGTTCCATTGCTGTGAACTCCAACTGAGTTAAAGAATCCAACAGAACAGAAACCATTGTCTTACTTGTCCAGTTCTCCTCACAGAGCAAATAATTCAGGAACAGGAATCAGAAAGACCCTGCACCCAGCACACTGCCTGGCACAGCATAGCCTCGGTAAGTGACTGTTAGTAAAATCTCATCATTATTTAATGGCAACTTGTAGAAAAACAATATATCACCATTATGTGCTAAAGCCCTGAGAAGGCAGGATCAGCTCTTCTTCCTTCCTCCTCCCCAAAGCACTCTACACCCAGAGCTGGGTAAGCCAATAACCACACTACCACCATCTCCATTGATCCTACGTGGTGGACTTGGCAGAATGTTTCCTTTAAGGTTCCTGGCTTCAGCCTTTCAGAATGTCTGCTCTTGACAAGGTGGAGCTTCTCATGCCAGGGATTGCGAGGGTCAGGGAGGTGGCAGGTGTGTGGCGAGGGGTGTATGTCTCCATGAAAGGAACCAACTCCAAGCAGAAGTGGATGTTGACATCCAGGAGCTTGGGTTTCTCTGATTGTTGACTTTTTTGTGTATCATTTATGTAGGAGGGGGCAGATGAGTGACATCGCATGAGTATACTGGATGACATGTCTACGCAGATGCAGTGATCCAGTTAATTCAGTGAAGCATCTGTTTTCTGTAACTCACCCACATAATAAAAGTCACACAGTGGAAGCTTTTGTAATTTTGGCCCTGGGCTGCAGGGAAGATCTCGATATCATGGCTGGCACCGTCTCTGAGGGCTTGAACTCCCCCTTGGTTCTTGCCCACCAGTTGCAGTTCAGTTCTTAGTTTATCCTGGAGGTCAGCCTCATAACCTGTAGACCAAATCCAGAGTGTGGCTGGGTCTGCTTGGCTTCTGTGGTGTTGGGCAGCATGGGGCTATTGAGAATTGGTGTGTTTGCCGAAATATTTTATCCAATTTTTTAAACCGCTTTATTGAGATATAATTGACATACAAGAAGCTATAGATATTTAATGTATACAACTCGATGTGTTTGGAGATAAGCATACACCCATGTAACCATCATCACTACCAATATTAATGCCATAAACTTTTCCATTATCTCCAAAAGTGTCCTTCTGCTGCCTTTGGGTTTTTTGGTTTTCTTTGTTTTTCTTAATCTACCTTCTTAGCAAATTTTTTAAAACACAATATAGTGGTGTTAATCATATGCCCTATATCGCACAGGAGGTTTCCAGAATTTACTTATTTTGCACACTGAAACTTTACACAAATTGAACTCTTTGGCCAATACTTCCCCATTTCCCCTTCCCTCCAGCTCCTGGCAACTACCATTCTATTCTCTGCTTCTATGTGTTTAACTAGTTTAGGTTTTATACAGAAGTGAGATGAGGCAGTATTTGGCTTCCTGTGTCTAGCTTATTTCACTTAGCATAATGTCCTCCAGGTCCATCCATGTTGTCATAAATGGCAGGATTTCCTTCCTTTTTACGGCCAAATAATATTTCATTATATGTGAAGTTGGCCCTCCATGTCCGTAGGTTCCACATCTGCAGATTCAATCAACCATGGATCAAGAGTATTGGGGGGAAAAGCAACAAAAAATAATGCACATTTTAAAGCAATACAATATAACATCTATTTACATGGCATTTACATCATATTAGTTATTATAAGTAATCTAGAGATTATTAAAAGTAGACAAGACAATGTGCATAGGTCATATGCAAACACTACACCATTTTATATCAAAGACTTGAGCATCTGTGGATTTTGGTGTCTGGGTGTCTGTAACCAATCCCCCTCAGATTTGGGGGATAATTGTTGCATCACATTTTCTTTATCCATTCACCCACCAATGGACATGTAGGTTGTTTCCATACCTTGGCTATTGTGAATAATGCCGCAATGAACATGGAAGTGAGATACCTTTTTGAGATCTGGATTTCAATTTCTTTGGATATATACCCAGAAATGGGATTGCTGGATCCTATGACTCTATTTTCTAGTTTTTTATTGTTGTAAAATACACATAACATTAAATTTACCATCTTAACCATTTTTAAGTGTTCAGTAGTATTAAGTACATTCATATTGTTGTGCACTCATCACCATCATCCATCTCCAGAAATTTTCATCTTGCAAAACTGACACTCTCTACCCATTAAACAATAACTCCCCATATTTCCCCTCTCTCCAACCCTTAGCAACCACCATTATACTTCCTGTCTCTATGATTTTTATGCCTCATTTAAGTGTAATAACACCGTATCAAATTATTTGTGACTGGTTTATTCCACTGAGCATAGCCATCCTCATGGCTCATCCATGTTGTAGCATGGGTCAGAACATCCTTCCCTTGCAGAGCTGCATAATATTCCATTGTGTGGATAGACTACATTTTGCTTATCCATTCATCCATCAATGGGCACTTGCAGATGTATTTTAGAATTTGGAGACGTGCACTAAAAGCCCAGATTTCTGACTTTCCTTGAAAGCTCAAGAGATCTGATAATGTGATGCCCTCATTCTCGAATGGCAGCAATGTGGCTGCATCTGCCCTTTGAATGAGCTCTGTAGTCCCCACCATGCCCTGGTGTAGCTCATGTAGCTCTGTAGTCCCCACCATGCCCTGTTTTCTACCTAACTCAGTATGTCACCCATGTGTATAACCTGCTGGATTTTCATATGAGTATGAATCACTGCCCCTCCCTATGTAAATCCCACCACCGGACTTTTATTTGACCTCAGTTTCCAGGCCAACTGTGCATTTAAGGAAGACTCCACTTTACTGGTGTGGTGTTGTCCGGCTCTGAGGACCAGACCAGAAAGTGAAGATGTCAACCACCTGGAATCCTACCTGGAGTCTACCACACAAGCCCCATCATCCTCGACTCACTTGATATGTCCAGGATGCTCAGAAGCTCTCAGTTATGACACCCCTGAGTGATCCCCTGGCACTGGAATCTTCAGGGACCTTGAGAAGGAAAGCAACCAATCCATTTATCCATCACCTTGGTCCTCAGGGGACAGCGCTCATAATTGTAGCTATGCCATCTCTCTGTTTTCACGTTGGGCTCCACTTAACAATTCCCATTAAATAGAAAAAGCCCTCTAGCAGGCAACATATTCATGAACTTGCCTTGGTAGCACATTCCAACACTGAAAAACCCTCTGTATTAGAGACTTTTTCATATCCAACCAAAATCACATTTGGAGTAAAGACATTTCATCTGAGCAGATCCTCAGAAGAAATATGAAAGAACTGCTCACTGCTTCCTTGAGAAACACACCCCTTTGTAGACAAAATACTACTGCAGCCTTCTCTTCTAAACAGTAAATCTTATTTCTCAACCATTTAATAATTCTTGAGGCTCTCACCTGAACCTTCTTTGAGTTCTCTGCATCTTTCTGGGTTCATATAACTCAAAACTAGTTGCAGAATTCTAGCAAGTTTCTGGGCAGTACTGAATATAATGGATATTACTTCAGTTTCTAATTGTGTATTCTACTTTTGTACTTGATTTCCAAACCAGAGCACTGTATTATTAACTCATGATCAACCCAGGGTCCACGTGATTTTTTAGAGTTTTTCAGCTCCACATGCATCTACCCTGTCATTGCCCATGACAGACTTAAAAGGTTGGATTTTTTCTCTGCAAACACAATGCCCTTTGCTTGTGTTTTCTGAACTTTGCTTTTGTTGGTTTCTCTCCCCATCTCTCAGCTACCAAGGCCATTTTGAATTCTAAATCCATAGCAAGAGACTGATTCCTGTTGTCCTCATCAGAGTTTAATGAAGTCCTGTGGCGTTTGTGAGGCATGCTGTCTCTCCTATCATCGCCTTCCTGAGAGCTCCTTCCCACCTTCAGCGATGGTGGCTCTGTGATTAACCTCTTCCAACCACTTATGCAGGCCAATCTTTTGTGAACTTTGTTAAGCTAATTGCGGTCCAGGACCATGAGCATCAGCATTATCTGGGAGCTTTTCAGAAATGCAGAATCTCAGGCCTCACTCCACACCTGCTGAGTCGGAATCTGCATTTTAAGAGCACCACCAGCTTATTCATATGGAGATTGAAGCTTGAGAAGTACTGATTTATGTTATCCAATGTTATTATTGATAGGATTATTATTGGGGGAGGAAATGGAAAGCTTTTCCCAAATTATAGCAATAGGTATCAATTTCTATGTCCACCAATATGTCCCAGAAGAGTTGCTAGTTTTATGAGACAAATTTGTTAGAAAGTAAAGATACTATAATTTCAATGGAAATGCATGTCAATTCAACATTTACTGAGTACCTAGTGTAGACTGAGCTATTTGTTGTGAGAGATGCAGATATGCACAAGCTAGTTCTTGTCTTCATTAACTTGCAATCTGGCAGGGCACATACACTGAGAACTCTAACATGCGTTGAACTCTAAGTGGGTTAAACACACGTGCTATGCATTCAAAGGAGGAGGACTGTGTCAGTATTAGCTCCCAAAGAAATAACAATTCGCTTTTTCTCAGGGAAGGTCTTCAGTAAAACATGGTTTGTTCTCTGGTAGCCATGTACACAGTTTGCAGTGCTGTCCCCTCCATAGATGACTAATTTCACTAAGAAATACAAGAAGAAAGCACATGCTCCCATCAGCACATCCATCACTTCTCTTTTCCCCCACCACAAAGAATTATTTTTTCCAAAATGTCCATAATGCTGAGGTTGAGAAACTCAGTGCTAGATCACTCTCATTCAACACCCAAATATGATATAGTATCCCTGTTATGGACTGAATTGGGTCCCCCCAAAATTCTTTCTCTGCTCCCATCTAGGGCCAGTCATTACACTGAATTCCATCTCCTGCTGTCTATTCAAAGACTTTGTGCTTGCAATTATCTGCTCTTTCTCTCTCTTGCATCATTAATTTCCTTTCTACTCCATCAGTGGTTCTCAACCGAAAGCAATTTTGCCTCCCCACTCCAAAAGAAACATTTGACAATGGGTGGGAACATTTTTGGTTGTCACTGCTGAGTTGTGCTACTGGGATGCAATGGGTAGAGCTCAGGGAAGCTGCTAAACACCTCAGGATGCACCGGACAGCCCCCACCACAAAGAATTATTTTTTCCAAAATGCCAATAATGCTGAGGTTGAGAAACTCGGTGCTAGATCACTCTCATTCAACACCCAAATACGATATAGTATCCCTGTTATGGACTGAATTGGGTCCCCCCAAAATTCCTATGTTAAAGCCCTAATCCCCAAAGTATCAGTGTGACTGTATTTAGAAATAAGTCTTTTAAGGAAGTAATTAAGGTTAAATGAGGTAATAAGGGTGAGACTGGTGTCCTTATAAAAAGAGAAAGAGATGCCAGAGCATTCTCTCTCTCTCTCTCTCTCTGTGTGTGTGTGTGTGTGTCTCTCTCTCCTCATACACACAGAAAAGGGTTCTCACCAAATCACAACCATGCTAGCACCCTGATCTTGGATTTCCAGCCTCCAGAACTGTGAGAAAAAATATATGTCTGTTTTTTAAGCCACCCAGTCTGTGGAACTTTCTTATGGCAGCCCCAGCAGAGCAATACAATCCCCATATTAAATAATCTTCAGTTGATGCCCATCAACTGATGAATGAATAAACAAAAGGTGGCATAGCCTTACAATACTATTGTATTAGTCCATTTTCACACTGCTATAAAGATACTACTTGAGACTGGGTAATTTATAAATAAAAGAGGTTTAATTGACTCACAGTTCTGCATGGCTGGGAAGGCTTCAGGAAACTTAATCATGGCAGAAGGAAAATGAGAAGCAAGCACCTTTATCACAAGGCAGCAGGAGAGTGTGTGCAGGGGAAACTGCCACTTTTAAACTATCAGATCTCACGAGAACTCCCTCACTATGATTAGTACAGTATAGGGAAAACTGCCACAATGATCCAATCACCTCCCACCAGGTCCCTCCCTCCACATGTGGGGATTACAATTAGGGATGAGATTTGGGTGGGGACACAGAGCCAAACCATATAATTCCACCCCGATGCCTCCTAAATCTCATATCCTTTTCACATTTCAAAACCAATCATGACTCCTCAACAGTCCCCCAAAGTCTTAACTCATTCCAGCATTAACTCAAAAGACCACAGTCTAAAGTCTTTTCTGAGACAAAGTCCCTTCCACCTATGAGCTTGTAAAATAAAAAACAAGTTAGTTACTTCCAAGATACAATGGTGGTACAGGCATTGGGTAAACGTTCCTGTTCCAAATGGGTGAAATGGGGCGAAACAAAATGGCCACAGGCCCTATGCAAGTCTGAAACTCAGCCAAGCAATCATTAAGTCTTAAAGCTCCAAAATCTCCTTTGACTTCATGTCTCACATCACATCCAGAGCATGCTGATGCAAGGGGTGTGCTCCCACAGCCCTTGGCAGCTGCATCCCCGAGGCTATGCAGGGTACAGCCCTTGCAGCTGCTTTCATGGGCTGGTGTTGAGTGCCTGTGGCTTTTCCAAGTGCACAGTGCAAGCTGTCAGTGGATCTACCATTCTGGGGTTTGGAGGATGGTGGTCTTCTCAGAGTTCCACCAGGAGTGCCCCAGTGGGGACTTTGTGTGAAAGCTTCAACCCCACATTTCCCCCCTACATTGCCCTAGTAGAGGTTCTCCATGAGGGCTCTGCCCCTGCATCAGACTTCTGTCTGAACATCCAGGCATTTCCACACATCCTCTGAAATCTAGGCAGAGGCCCCCAAAGTTCAACTCTTGTCTTCTGCACATCCACAGGCCAAACAAGGCTTGGGGCTTGCACCCTCTGAAGCAACAGCCCAAGTTGTACCTTGGCCCCTTTCAGCCCTGGCTGGAGCCAGAGTGGCTGGGACTTGGGGTACCAAGTCCCAAGGCTGCACAAAGCAGCAGGGCCCTGGGCCTGGCCCAGGAAACCATTTTTCCCTCCTAACCTCCTGGCCTATGATGGAAGGAACTGCCTCAAAGATCTCTGACATGCCCTGGGGGCATTTTCTGCATTGTCTTGGCTATTAACATCTGGCTCCTCTTTACTTATGAAAATTTCTGCAGCCAGCTGGAATTTCTCCCCCAGAAAATATTTTTTTTTCCTACTTCATGGTCAAGCTGCAAATTCTCCAAACGTTTATGCTCTGCTTCCCTTTTAAACAAAGGTTTCAATTTCAAATCATCTCTTTGTGAATGCATATAACTACATTTTCAGGAAAAACCAGGTCACCTCTCGAATGCTTTGCTGCTTAGAAATTTTTTCTGCCAGATACCCTACATCATCTCTCTCAAGTTCAAAGTTCCACAGATCTCTAGGGCAGGAGCAAAATGCCACCAGTCTCTTTGCTAAAGCATAGTATGAGTGACCTTTACTCCATTTCCCAATAAGTTCCTCATCTCTATATGAGACCACCTCAGCCTGGACTTCATTGTCCATATCACTATCAGCATTTTGGTCAAAACCATTCAACAAGTCTCTAGGAAGTGCCAAACATTTGCACATCTTCCTGTCTTCTGAGCCCTCCAAACTGTTCCAGCCTCTGTCTGTTATCCAGTTCCAAAGTCACTTCCACATTTTCAGGTATCTTTATAGCAGTGCCCCACTCCCGGTACCAGTTCCCTGTATTAGTTCATTCTCACACAGCTGTAAAGAAACTACTTGAGACTGGGTAATTTATAAATAAAAGAGGTTTAATTGACTGACAGTTCCACATGGTTGGGGAGGCCTCAGGAAACTTACAATCATGGCAAAAGGAGGAGAAGCAAGCACCTTTGTCACGAGGCAGCAGGAGGGAGACAGTGTGCAGGGGAAGCTCCCACTTTTACACCATCAGACCTCCTGAGAATTCCCTCACTACCATGAGAACAGCATGGCAGAAACTGCCCTCATGATCCAGTCACCTCCCACCACACATTGGGATTACATGGCGATAAGATTTGGGTGGGGGGACACACAGCCAAATTATGTCAACTATTCAGCAATAAAAAAGAACAAGATACTGATACTTGCCACAACATGAATGAATCCCATGTTAAGCAAAAGAGACCTGACACAGAAGACAATATATTGTATGATTTCATTTATAAGACCTTCTCATGGGAGTTGAATCTATAGAGGCAAGAAGTATATTAGCATTTGCCTAGGTTTGGAGGTGGGAACTGGATTAACTCCAAGTGGGCAGAAAGGACTGTGTTGGGGTGATGGAAATATTCTAAAACTGACTTGTGGTGATGTTTGCACCATAAACCAGTACATTTATAAAAAATCATTGAATTGCATACTTAAAGTAGCTAGATTTTGTGGTCTGTAAAATATACCTCAGTAAAGGTGTTTAAAATAAAGTTAAATTAAATTTACAAAAGTATTTTAAAATCTCTCCATCCCCCTTTTCTCTCCAACTACCAATCCATTTCTGAGCTTCTATTTACAGCAAAACTCGTTCAGAATGTTATATAATGAAGTATTCCACATTCTCACCCTCGTCCCCACCCCTCCACATACACTAGCTCAGTCAACCAGGCTAACATTAGTCTCATCAAGTCATAAAGACCTTCACATTGCCAAATCTGATGGGCAATTTCCAGTATCACCTTACCCCCTCTCAACATTTCATGCCTGGGATCATCCTCAGGTCTCTTCCGTGTCTACAGTCACCCAACTGGTCTTTTTCCTTCATGGCACTCATTTCCTATTTCTTACTGGAAACAGTAAGGGATTGGACATAAGACATGGGTTTTATTCCTTCCCGTGGGTTCAAATACCATTTACACACTCTAGACCCTAAATTTATATCCCCACGTCACTTTCTCCCCTGAGCTCCAGATGGCCTGGGCTGAGCCTGAGTAAATCTCATCTTAAATGTCTAGTAGGCATCTCAAACTAAAGTTGCTCGAAGCTGAGCTCTTTAGTCCCTCTCTTCTCAAACCTGTACCCTCACCAGTTCACCATGTCTCAGTAAACAGCACCATGATTCACCCAAAGACTGAGGCCAAAACCCTGGAGTCATCTTTGACTTTGTACCCTGCCCCTACACAGTCCACAGCAAATCCACTTTGGTCTCATTCAAAATACTAGCAACCTAACCACAGTCACCCTCCACTGCATTCCCTTTGCCAAGCTGCCATTGTCTCTTGCCTGGACTGGTACAGTAGCTTCCTAGGTAATATGTCTTCCACCTTGCTTCCTAGACTCAATTTCCCACACAGCAGTGCTATGGTTTGCATGTGTCCCCCAAAAATATGTGCTGTAAACTTAATCCCAAAGTAGCCATTGATGAAACCATGAGAGCTATGCCCTGGTAAATGGATTAATGCTGTTACCACAAGAGTGGGTTCATTATTGTGAGACTGGGTTTCTTATAAAAAGACTAATTTGGCTCTCTCTTGCTCTCTCTCTCTCTCACTCTCTCTTAGCCCTTCTGCCATGGGATGTTGCAGCAAAAAGGTCTTTGCCAGATGTAGGTCCCCGATCTTGGACTTCCTAGCCTATGGAACCATGACTCAATAAATTTCTGTTCATTATAAATTACTAAGTCTGTGCTATTCTGTTACAGCAGCACAAAACGGATTAAGACAAGCAGCTGGAGCAACACTATTAAAATGTAAATAGCGTTCCCCCCTGTTCCCCCAGTAGGGTCAGCCTGCCTTCTTTGGAGATGATGGCAAATTTAGGGGGTGAGGACAGTCACCCTGTCCTGAGGGGCCAACTAGCTACAGAAGATAAGGACAAATGCACATGTAATAGTGAGCAATCACAGAGGGCAGTAGAGGATACATGTGGCCCAGCAGGAGGGGATGTTGAGGCCAACGAGAAGGCCCAAGAAAGACAGGCAGCTGCAGTGTTTCCCCTTGCTGAGACCATGGTCTGGGGAGCCCTTTGAGTGGATCAAGTTCCAGAGGCAGAGCTATCTTTAAAAAAGAAAAACAGAGGCCAGGCACAGTGGCTCACACCTATAATCCCAGCACTTTGGAAGGCCAAGGCGGGCGGATCACCCGAGGTTAGGAGTTTGAGACCAGCTTGGCCAACATGGTGAAACCCTGTCTCTACTAAAAGTACAAAAATTAGCCAGGCATGATGCGGGTGCCTGTAATCCCAGCTACTCAGGAGGCTGAGGCAGGAGAATCGCTTTAACTTGGGAGTGGGAGGTTGCAGTGAGCCAAGATGGCACCACTGCACTCCAGCCTGGGCAACAAGAGCGAGACTCCGTCTCAAAAAAGAAAAGAAAAGAAAAGAAAAACAGATAACATGAGCAGTGGATGGATGCTGCTGCATCCCACAGCCCCCAGTGCCTGTGCAACAGGCATGCTCAGCGCCTCCACAGGGACCTGCAGTGGCACGAAGCTGGGGAGACTTCAGTATGTTTATGAATATACATACCAATGTCTGACTTCCTCCAGATCAGTAAAAGAGGAGAAGGGGCTGATGAGCGCACTGTGATTCAATAGCGACTGCGGGCATTGCATGACCAGCCCCAGTGTTCCACTGCTGGCACTCACTGCTGGCCTGGTCAGCCACAGGCCGTGAGCTGCATGCAGCATGAGGCCCAGAGTGGCAGGAGGCTCCTCCCCTTGAAGTCTGTCAGGCTCTGTCCATGGCTGAGAGAAACAGCAGCTACACTTGAAGCTTGCCACTGGCCACATCCCTTTCCAGGCACCTAGGAAGACCTCTTTCATACTAGGAAAGCCTCACTTTATCTCCTGAGACCCTGAGCGTCAGTGCAGCAGTATCCGAAGCACCCAGCCGGGGACGCAGTGGGCACAGCTGGATTGCAGAAGGCAGGAAGAGGTCAGCAGCCACAGAGCTCCAGAGAAAGGCATGGGATCCAATCAGCACGAGGACACTCTGCATGGTCCGTGAGGTGTCTGAGGCCACCTCTTCTGATGGCATCTGCTGGGTACAGGGAAGGGAGAATCCAGCCTGCGCCCCACACACATACTCTGCTGATGGAATGTCCACCGTATCCACCCCAAGCACAGGAGCCTCTGCAGCCACCAAGTTTGCAGGGCTTGCCAAAGGGGCCACAGCAGGGGCTGTGGGCACTGCAGGTGCGGTGGGTACACAGCACCCAAGGCTGCAGGCCCAGGCCAGGCAAATGCAGCAAGAACAGGAACTGCCACCCAGAAGAGGCAACTCAGGGACTGTGTGGGAGGGGCGGCCGGCAGGTCTTCAGAGAGAGGGCAGCGCCAGCATGGCCATCACGGGAGGAGAGAGGACCAGCAGGTCTATTTGGGGGCAGCTGAAGGTGGGGAAGCCAAGAACCTGGAGCCTTGGCTCATCCTTGCTCAGTGAAGGCGACAGGAGCAAAGGAGGTGGAAGCCGGAGAGGGCCACACCCAGAAGGAAGGAGAGGAGGGCGGAGCTTCCAGGAAGGAGAGCGCAGTCACCCTAAAACCACCCCCCAGCTGCTCCTTGGCCAGCTGTTCCTGGGGAGAGAGATGCCGAGAAGAAGCCTGGAGCAGCCCACAGGTGCAGACTCGGTTCCTCTCTTCACCAAACCACCAACAGCTGAAGAGTCTGGGACGTCTTCCAAATCGAGGGGAGCTGACATGGCCAGTCCAGCTCTACAAGTGACAGACTCAGAGGGGTCAGCTCTTCCTGAGGGACTTCAAAGCCAGCCCTCCTCAAAGCAATCAGTGGTCCCACCAAAGGGGTAGGCCGTGGAGAACAACACTGTGGAGCCTTCCTGGAGAGAGTGGAGGGTGGTTAGGGGCTAGGGTTTCTGCTACAGGGATGTTGGAGACCAGGGCAGCTGTAACCTTGGAACCCCATTAAGCTGGAGCCACAGCAGGAAGCTGCAGTTCCTGGACAGGTGCCGGGGAAGCCGGTCCAGCTCTCCCGCCACAGGCTCAACCCAGGATTCCATGTCTCACAGTGCAACAGTGGTCGCTCAGTGGATTCCATGATGTCACTGTGCTGCAGCCCTGTTCCCTGGTCTCCAGTCAGGGGACCACCCTCACACCCATGCTCTGCAGAGGCAGCATGAGGGGCAGCCTTGTCTGGGCTGATCTCAGCTTGGGCTCCCCAAGGCTACAGCCTGGGAAGCATCCCCTGCCACCGCCATCTCCTCTTCTCCCTCTTTTTCTCCCCCTACCCCAGAGCCACTGAGCACAGACAGACAAGCCATAGACAGCAGAACAGGATTCAGGTTTTCCCTCCTGGGATGTTCAGGGGCGGGAGGAGGGAAGCATCTGATTTTGTTGGCAAACAGCGTTGGAAAGTCTGTCGTGTGGACTTAGTGATTCCAGAGGTCTGGGCACTGGAGAAACACTCATGTGTGGGAGAACGTTCATAGCAAAGAAGTTTGCAGCAGCAAATCCTGGAAGCAGCCAAATGTCCCTGAACAGGAGAACAGATGAAGTGTGGGATGTGCACACAAGGGGACTTGGTGCAAAGGGAAGGCGCACAGCAGCAACACACAGGAGCCAGGAGACTGCTGAGGAGACTGCAGGAGCCAGGAGACCGCAGGCACTGCTCAGTCAAAAGGCCAGGCGCAGAAGAAAACGGCCCACACGCGCGGTGGCGGGCGGTGGCGGGCGATGGCGGGCGATGGCGGGCACCTGTAACCCCAGCTACTCAGAAGGCTGAGGCAGGAGAATTGCTTGAACCTGGAAGGCAGAAGTTGTAGCGAGCTGAGATTGCGCCACTGTACTCCAGCCTTGACGACAGAGTGAGACTCCGTCTCAAAAAAAAAAAAAAAAAGAAAGAAAAGAAAAGAAAACGGCCCACACAGCTCAAACACAAGGCCATGATGAACACAGAAGTCAGGAGCATGCATGTCCGCAGCGTGGAAGGAAGGAGTCACACCAGGGGCTTTGATAGTACTGGGAATTGCATTTCTGAAGCAAGGTGCAGGTACACAGGAGGGGACCAACGTTATCTTTTCACATTTTAACATTCCTGGTCAGGATGGTCCTTAGGTCACAGTCCGCCAGGTGACGGTTGTGATGTGGTTTCATTGCCTTAGAAAGACCTTAAGCAATTGCTTTCACTTAATATTTTCCTTTTTATGTATGCACAAGAGCAATCAATGTATGACAAAAATCCATTCTGGCTGGTGTGAAGGATCACTTTCAATAAGTAAAGAAATTCTAAGTGACAAGAAAAAAAAATGGAAGCCAAATCACATCACTCTCCTGCTCAGACCCTCTCCATGGCTTCTCACCATGCTTAGCCGGGAAGCAAGGTTCTCACAAAGGCTTTCGAGGCCATCAGGATCTGCCCAGTCCCTCCTCTCTGGTGAATCTTCAGCCCTGGCCTCCCTGCTGCCTTCCTGGCATACCAACCATAATCCTATCTCAGGACCTAAGTACTTGCGTCCCCCTGCCAGGAATGCTCTTTCCCTGGATACCCCATGACTACTCCTCTACTTCCATTTACGAAGACACTCGATGAATCTCAAAGTCTCTTGACATGGATGCATTTGACTTCTCCAATGTCGAAAATCCTAGAAAGGGAAAGCAGACTCATTTCCATGGAAAATCTCATAATCCGCCTATCTATGATTCAAACAGGCCTTCCAAACTCATTTTTTGATCAAATTGAGCACCACCAAGAAAACAGAAACCGCCCTTGTGAGCCTCCTGGTGTGACAGCAGGAATGTGCAGCATTGCCTCAGAGGGATTCTTGCCATATTCTTGCCAAATGCTTTACCTGGATCTAATCATGAGGAAACCATCAGATAAATCTAGATTGTGGCACATTCTGCAAAACAACTGGCCTGCCTTGTCAAAAAAGTCAGGGTCAGGAATAGCAACAACAAAGGCAAGGGAAATGTTCTAGATCAAAGGAAATGGAAGAAACATCACAACCAAGCGCTATGAATGAAATGTGACTGAAATGGAGGGGTGAGCCATAGAGAATAATTAGTCAACTGGGAAATTTTGAATATGGACTGCAGGTTAGATTATATTGAAATAGCGAGTTTGTTAGGTGTGACAAGGGCACTGAGGACGCGTAGAAGAATGTTGATACACAGGCAGAAATATGTGCAGGGAGCCTCGTGGCATCTGCAACTTACAAATGTCCCAACAGCAAAAAAAAAAGTGACAGGGAGCGCATTCGGCAAGACACCAACAATTGGTGAATCCGGGTGAAAAGATTTTGATGGTCATTGTATTACTCCTCTAACTGCTTTTTATGTTTGAAATTTCAAAGTCAAAGGATTAAAAATCAGTTTATTTTATATTAGAAATAAAATATCATACCTAAGGAAAAAAACAAGCTTGTAAAACCAAAAGAATACTACGGCTTTTTCAGTATGTTAAATGACATGCATAATTTGAAAAATGACAATGAAAATGAATGCAACGATGACACCGAATTCTGCCATTAAAATTGACTGATGACTATGGTGAGGAATAAGACAATGGTAGAACTTTGATGTAGCGTCAGAACCAAAATCCTTTAGTATTACTCCTTTTGAAGTGCTGAAATTTATTTCCAGCAATAGTCACCTGGATACATTTATAAGATGTTGTAACTATCAGGTTCTATTTAATTTTGCCAATACCTGTCATCAATACTACTCAACATTAAAATTTATTTTAAAAGTACTTAAGGTCTACAGTGTCATAAGAAAGACAAATATGGCAACTACTTCTGCAGAAAACAAAACACCGGAACTAGTAAATATTAAAAATGTCCCTCAGAAAGTGGTTTTCAGGACGGCAGTACACATAACTATTTTATAACAAAGCATTTAGCTCAAAAGTTTTCTAATTATCATGATTTAAAACTTGAACTGTCATTTTATGTTCAGGAATTTGATTTGTATAATTCATTTAGAATGACTGTTGTCATTATTATGAACAGGAAATAAATAATACGGTTCTTTTTTTTTCTTACTTGAGGAAGTACTGCTGTTTCTCATTCACACAATAGCACTGAATTGTTAGCAGCCCTGGTTAGGTTTGGTGAGCAGAGAAACAATAATGGTAAAGATAATGACAAGAATACAATAGAGGAATGAAAATACAGACAACGGAGTCACAAACCTAAACCGCTGTTAGCACATTGGTGCCCTTTTTAAAATCAGGTACAATTAAAATAGCTTGGCAATCTTTGAAATGCTGCTTATGTGTTTTAGCTCTTTCTTAACTCATTTGAAACAACCAAGAGTATCTTATAAGACTAGATTCGTGCCCATATGAATTCAATTTGCAATCAATATTTAAATTTGGGAGAAATCAAATTTGTTAAATTCCTAAGTTCTTTATTTAATCATTGTGTAACTAGTGTCTGAATATTTAGAGGAATGTTGGTTGTTTGAAGATTAATAAACTGGACATTAACAAAGTAGAAATCATATTATTTCTATCCATACATAAACATCCCTGAGAAATTCCAGATTCTACCAAGATCAACCTCACTACATGCAAGACCTGGTGCCCAGGCCATATACAAAGGCTAGGGGTTCAGAGGGTGCTTGGCGTGAGACCTCTGCCCAAGAGCAGCACTTGACACTAGATAGAAACCAGCCATGGGGGTCAGATCCTCCCTCCTAGAGTCTAAGATAAGCAGCATCAACAGTCCGTGGTATAAAAGCAGACAGGAATGGAAGAATGGAGAGACACCTGTTTGCAAGAAGAGTGAAGTCACTGCAATAAGGAACACCTACTCCAAGCAGCAGCGAGGAGCCCTGACACCACAGGTGCTGCAGGTGCCCCAGAGCTGCTGCTGAGCTCCGAACGTCAATGAATGACAGTCCAGCATCCCATGAGCCTGCTGCGGTGACCTCCTGGATGTTCCACTTCTCTGCAGTGCCATGGGGAAACCCAAGAACTCAACATAGAGTGGGATCCAATCTACGAGCCATTCAGGAAACACATAGGGAGCAGCTACCATTGTCACCAGTGCTGTTCCAGGCACCGAGGGTGGATGAAACGTGCCTCCTCAACCTCGAGGCTCTTGTAATCTAGCAATTTAAATACAATGTCCTAAATGCTTCAACAGTACATGAGCCAAGTGCTATAGGGACAGCTAGAAGGTAATGATTAATGACTCAGGAGCCAGAAGCAGTAGAAAACAAGGATCAGAAAAGACTCCAGGGAGAATGAGCCATTTGGCTTTGCCTTGAAAATCACCATAAGGGATTTTACCAGGATGCAAGAAAAAAAAAAAAAAGAGGGAACACAAACAAGTGGCACAGGGGGCAGCGGAACCTGCGGGTGGGGGAGGCGGTGGGAGGTAGGAGGACAAACTCATGCCTATTTTCAAATCCTGCTGTATGCTCTGGAGCAAGCTGTATAAACTCTCTATCTCTCAGTTTCCTGTCTGCAAAATGCGGATAAAACTAGTGCCTACTCTAAAAGCAGGACAAGGATTAAGTGAGTTAAAGCACATCACGTTCTCAGATCAGTGCTTCACCCGTGACTCAACTCAACCATGTCAGCAGCCATCATCGCCATCTCCACACTTGCTAATTTAGCCACTCCCAACTCTCCTTCCTTCCTTCTGCTGTTGGTCATTCTTGGGCCACCTCAGTCTCTGTTCTGCCCACCTGTGTGTGCATTTTGGCCAGGTGCCTTCAGGCTGCTCTCTTGCCCAGCAAGGCAACCAGCTTTCCAAAGGTGTTCTGCTCCTCTGTTTGCCAGCAGCACCTTCCCGCATGGAACACCTCCCAGGCCAGATACCCCATCAACCTCAGTGGGTCCCGGGAGTGACTTAGAACAGGAGCACTTCATTTTGAGACAGGTTCAAATCCCAACTCTGCCTTTTACTACCTTGTACACTGTAAACATTCTGAGCCTTAGTTGTTGTTTTTTTTTAATCAGTAAAATGAGGGTAACACTATCTACCTCATAGGGCTATTGTAAAGCTTAAAATAAAATTCATACATACAAAAATAAGTACGCAGAGCTGTTCCACCCAATGCCCAACACACAGTAAGTGCTCAATAAATGGTGGCATAAACACACACACACACAAAAACCCACTTTGCGGGTATACAACTGTATACAAGTTGCTAGGTGTTTGCTCATTTTTCTGTCAACAGAATCATCACATTTGCTGTGATGCTGCTCGGTATTTTCCTAGATAGAAAGGAACTCTTCCTCAGCCTGGAATGTATATCCCATATGCCTCTGCTGGGACTACCCTAAGTGTATAGACTCTGCAACCAAGAAAACATTGACGAGAAAGCTTCCATACACCACCCAGCTTCCTTGCATGGTATCACATGCCATGATGGAACTCATGGAAAGGAGACTCCAGAAACAACGGGGAGCAAGCTGAGGAGGGGCCCCAGTCTCTCCTTTCTTCCCTCCTCCCACCCTCACCCCCAGTGTTCAGAGCCTTCAGTTTGGTCATCTTCCTATCTCAGCTAAATGCATTCCCTGAAAAGGAGCTGAGAAATTCACTAGCACTAAGACTGGATGGAAAAACACACACAAGATTCCCAGGAATATTTACATCTGAGCAGATGGGCAAAGCAAAAATCAAAGGGATGCAGGTTAATTAGGGAATTATGGGCCTCAGGAATGCCAGGAAGGAAAAAATATTGTGTAACTGGGAGATGTTCCCAGGGCCACCGTAATTAAATCACACTAGGCCTGTCCCAGGTGTGGCGGCCTGTGGCCGGTCAGAGCAGGAGGCAAAAACGAAAAATAGGTTTCTTATTCTTCTTAAAATTAAATTAGAATGTAAAAGACAAGCCTAACAGCTTTGAAAAAGAATGAGGTGGAGATCCATGAGCTGATATAGAAAGAAACAAAAAACAGAAAAATGCATGATACAAATCAGTATGCATAGAATGAATATCCATATATATGTTCCTAGATGCGTGGAAAATTGCAGAAAGACACAAAGCAAACTGGTAGGAACGGCTAACTCTGTGGAGGTGGCTTGGAGGACTGGAAATCAGCAGTGAAAGAGAAAGCCTTGTCTCTGCTTCTCCACTCATATTCTTCTATCAATTTTTTAGACTATGTGTATGTATCACCTTTTCAATTTAAAAAATAGGTTAGAAAAGATAGCATGAAAAAATTCAGTGAGCTGTGAAGTCTTTTAATAAAACCAACAGCGTGAGATGTAATTCTTAAAAGACTAATGAGAGACCACAGTTAGCAAAACGATACCATGAATAAAACCCCAAGTCAAAATATTTTGCTAGGATCCAGAATTCACATTAAATTCTGTGATGTAAAGTGTCATTAAAGGTGGCTGAAGAGCCAGGGGAATGGAGAGGAAGGATCCCAATGCTTGATCTGGCTTTCTTTCTTTTTTTTTTGAGATGGAATCTCGCTCTGTCGCCCAGGCTGGAGTGCAGTGGCGCGATCTCGGCTCACGCCATTCTCCTGCCTCAGCCTCCCGAGTAGCTGGGACCACGGGCACCCGCCACCACGCCCGGCTAATTTTTTGTATCTTTTAATAGAGACGGGGTTTCACCGTGTTAGCCAGGATGGTCTCCATCTCCTGATCTCGTGATGTGCCTGCCTCGGCCTCCCAAAGTGCTGGGATTACAGGCATGAGCCACCACGCCCTGCCAGTCTGGCTTTCTTAATGATGTAGGTTTTTCTCTTAGAAAGAACATCCACCACATTTCCATACCTATTTTTGAACAACAAGACAGGGTTTCAGAACTCATGTTCTTCATTAGTCAAATTCACCCCTGCCCCACCTCACCATGCCTGCCTTCAGTCCTAAGCCTGAGGATGAGTTCTGCAGGCACCAGCTGCTTTGTTCCTTATAAATAGGGGTTTCCCAGCTAGTCTGGAGTGATGAGTACTAAGACGGGTCAAAGTCCAAAGTTGCAGACATGTGGTTGTGTAAGTATGAATGTTGCATATTCTCAGACCTGATCATCATACCCTTAACTTAGAGACTGCTCAGAATTTTTGCTCAGTTCCTCATGTTTCTGCTTTGGGGATTTGGTGATTACATTTGTTGCTAAAGCAAAGCAAAACGCAAGCCCCTCAAGTCCTGAAAATTACAAAATTTCCCAGTGGAAATTATGAAGGAGGGGGAGAAAGAAATTTTAAAAACTTCACATCTTGACCAGCCAGACAACATCAATTCCCAGAGATGTTGAGAACAGCAAGAAAAAGTACACCTGGAGAAATTACATAGAAATACTTTGCTTCCCCAAGTACTACACAACTAAAATTAAACTGAGGGAAAAAAAACTAGCTTTGAAATAACTATTGACATCCATAATACCCATATCCTCTAGGCATCATGAAAGTACTAAACAAATTGATGAACTAAAAAGGCAGCAGAGAACCCAAAGAGGCAACTGACAAACATTTGAAGGCAGATGGGTCTACGGAATCAGAGAGTAAATTCCACATTCCAGGTAGTTTCCTAGTAAATTTCTGTAAGCACGCTGGCTCCAACATGCCAGTGTCATGTGTTAAGATATCGATCTAGAGAACCAAATTCACCAGCTGAAGAGTCTTCTGTACTTGGCATTGTGGGACATAACAGAGAGACTCTCTATCCTTAAGAAATTAGTCTTTTAAACTTGGAACCAACCCAAATGCCCATCAATGATAGATTGGATAAAGAAAATGTGGCACATATACACCATGGAATACTATGCAGCCATAAAAAAGAATGAGTTCATGTCTTTTGCAGGGACATGGATGAAGCTGGAAGCCATCATTCTCAGCAAACTAACCCAGGAACAGAAAACCAAACACTACATGTTCTTATCGTAAGTGGGAGTTGAACATTGAGAACACACGGACACAGGGAGGGGAACATCACACGAGGCCTGTCGGAGGGTGGGGGGCAAGGGGAGGGAAACCATCAGGACAAATACCTAATGCATGTGGGGCTTAAAACCTAGATGGTGGGTTGATAGGTGCAGCAAACCACCATGGCACATGGCACATGTAGACCTATGCAACAAACCTGCACATTCTGCACATGTATCCCAGAACTTAGAGTTTAAAAAAAAAATAGTATTTTAAGAGAGATGTATGGAGATGCATTGCAACAAGTAAAATAACACCCTGTAGAGAACAAAATGAGAGTGAAAGCCTTTGAATTTTTTTTCAAATAAACATCTATAAACAGTTTTCAATACGTGCCATGCACAATGCTCAATGCTCTAAATTCATTGTCTTATTTAATTCTCACCCTATCTCTATTAGGTAGATGCTATTGCTGTTCCCATTTCACAAGTGATAAAACAGAAGCTTAAAAAGATCAGGTAACTACAAAGTGCGGAGCTCAGGCTCTTAACCACCAGAAGAGATGCTCAGATTTCCTGATCATTTTATCTGATACATGCAACAATCAGAGCTATTAATCTACAAGCCACACGTTGTCAGGCATTGAATCTTTACTCAGTCCTCAATCAACATCAAAACCAAACTCCCCAAATCTACTAAATTTTTCTATCATTTATCAGACGGCTCTACATGCAACTGTGCTAAAAACCAGGTGCCAAAACAGTCATCTCTGTTGTTTGAGGTCAGCTTGTACACACTTCTTTGTCAGTTTGATACAGTAAACATAAAACTCACCAAATGCACTCACCAGAAATGAAAGGGAAGCAACTTGTTCTAAGTTATCTAACATTAGATTGTTCAATTTAACATAAGGAGGTTATATAAAATTTTATTTCTTTTTCCTTACCTTAAAATTTTCTGTTACTTACATAACAAAAATAAGATCAAATAAAAAATACATTTCTCTTATATAATAAATGTGTTTTGGGAAAGTGGCATATAAACAGAATAATATCTTCAATGCACTGGAGAAATTAGTCATTGGAGAGAAGGTTATAATGAATCATTTTGTAATGTAAAGAATTCTTTTATGTGAATGTATTTATAATCTACCCTGTACCAAACACATGTTTCGGGCAACTTAGGAAGATACATATAATCCCAGATAAAATAAATTTTGAAAATAAGTAATGAATTCCAGGCAAATGGAAAATAATGGTAGAAAAGGGCAGGAGGAAAATGAACGCAGGAAACCCATAAAGGTCTATGTACTTCGCAGAGGTGGGCCCCAAATTTAGCTGCAAAGCTGTCTCCAGCCCCAGCACCTAAAGGGACACATGATCAGTTACACAATTGTAGGCGTCTACACGATTTTAGAAAATCAAACCCACCAAACTGGTTGCTGTTTTCTGAGTGTTTCCCACACCTCCCGACCAAAAGGTGATCCTAGATCCCTCTGAGACCCCACTTCCCTCGGCTCCCTCAGTGGAAGGCCGCTCTTTCTCCCACCCCCACCTGCAGCAGGACACCTCAGAGTCAGTGTCATCCCCCAGTCATGGTTGTTTCCAGATCACTTCTTGGCTCCATTCCACCTCAGCTGTCTGCTGTGCTCTCCGTGCACCCTGCATCTTCATACTGCCCTGCTGAAATCACCCCTGCAGACTTCCCCAGTGCGGAGTCTCCACCCTGACTCCACACTAGAACCACAGGTCACCAAATTCCAGTCCCTGGCACCCCTTCCCCTGAACACTGAAAAAGCCTAACTTAATTGACCCCAATTGGGGCCCAGGCATCGGTCCATTTCTAAGAACCCCAGGTGTTTTCAATACACAACCAGAGTTGAAGACTATGGTTTCTCCCTGACCATTCTTTCTGTTTCATTTCTTCACTCCAACTGTGCCTGCTTTTCAACATCCTTGGGTCCTCTGATTCAGTGACTCTCTCCTTTGCTCATATCCATCCAGCCTCTCCTCTTTTTCCCTCTCATGCTTTCTGTCTCCCTGCCTGGTTTCAACTCCATGCCTCATCGCTTCAGCTGCCCCTTCACTAGTATCCTAAACTACCTCGCTCTGTTGTGCTTCCGTAACAACCACCCAAAACACCCCAATCTAAACCAATCCAACTGTTCTCTTTCTCCATGTCTACACTGAGACTTCTGAGCAGTGCTTGCGTGGGGAAAGCAATACTCTTCAAGTCAATTAAAATTACTTTTAGCAAATTAAAAATGGAACGGAACTTCCTTAATAGAATAATGGAATTTGCAGCAATTATTTGTGTACATAAAAATTCCAAGTAAATCCTTGTTAAACTATTGGAATTAAATATGGTCATGTGCCACATAGCCATATTTTAGCCAACAATGGACTGCATTTTCTACAGCGGTCTCATAAGATTATAATGTCTCCTTGTGTTGCCCAAGCTGGTGTAGAACTCCTGAGCTCAAGCAGTCTGCCAGCTTTGGCTTCCCAAAGCGCTGGGATGACAGGCATGAGCCACCACACCCAGCCCAAATTTAGCAAGTTTTCTAGGTAGATTGTCACTATACAAAACTCAATTTTATTTCTCTATCCCGGCAACAAATAGTTCAAATATGAAAAAAAAAAGTTAGATACCATTTACTTCGTCAAAAGTTATCAAGTACTTAGGAAGAAATTTGACATTTTATACAATTGTCCAACTGAAATTAAAAACTTAAAGTCACCCAAAAACTAACACACAAAATGTTTTAGTGGCTTTATTCATAATTGCCCAAATTGGAAACAACCTACATCTCTCTCAAGTGGAGAGTGGATAAACACACTAGGGTACCTGACTTTGTTAAAAGAAAACCTAGACAGATTACATTTAACAGAGTTTAGCTGAGCAAAGAACAATTCATGAATTGAGCAGCCCATAGAACCAGAATCGCTTCAGAGAAGCTCTGGCACTGCCGCGTGGTTGGAGAGGATTTATGGCCAGAAAGAGGAAAGTGAATTACAGAAAACGGAAGTGAGGTACAGCAACAGCTGAATTGGTTACTGCCTGGAGTCTGCCTTATTTGAACACTGTTCAAGCAGTCGGCCGCCTGTGAGTGGTTGAAGTACGGCTGCTGGGATTGGCTGCTTGTTACAAGAGTGAGTTGCAGGCTGTTTATACATCCAGTTAGTTTACACTTCACTATGTACAGAAAAACCTCTAGGCTGAACTTATAAGAAGGCAGCTTTAGGTAAACTTAATTTAACACCTTCAGTGGAATATTACTGAGCAATATAGAGGAATGAGCTAGTGGCACACACAAAATAGATAAACTCAAATGTGCTCCAATGAAGCCAGACTCAAAAGGCTACATGCTGTATGAGCCCATTTATATGACGTTCTGGAGAAAGCAAAATTATAGGAACAGAAGACAGATCAGAGATTGGCAGGACAGAGGTGGGAGGAAAGTCTTACTAACAAATAGGGCAGGGGATCGATAGGTCTGTTCTGTATCTTGGTGGTGGTGGTGGTTACATTTGTAACTATTCAAAATTGCTATTTATATTTCCTGTGGTATTACAAATTCCTGTGCTTAAACAGTAGATTCAAAATAAACAATGATAATATGGTGATTGTAAGACAAAGAAACAGAACTTAAATTATTTACATTTCGTCTTTCTATGAGATCACTTGGAAATTTAGATCAGTGTTGAAATTTTTAAAACAGTAAGAGAAAAAGAATGAGAACTGAGGTTTTTGTAGCAGCTGAATGTAAATTTTTGTCAATATATAAAATATTTTAGAAAATTTGGTTGGTATCTTTAAAATTGCAATTGATTCTTTTTAAAATTATGAATTGTTTTAAAACTTCAGACTAAATTAAGAAAATGCAATATTACATCATTGGTACAACGGAGAGCTGCCTAAATTATACCTCTTGCAGGATGTTCAGCTTTATCAAAATTTATTTATTAGCTACAGGATATTTTTAAAGAATTTCTGTAACTATTTTCATATTTGTTGCTTTATGTGTGAAAGAAAATTTTGAAATTAAAATTAGTAAAAATATTCCTCAATCAATTATGAGGAGATAGGTTGAAAAATCCAGTTATACTCTCTTGAACGTGAATATACCATGAAGATAAATTTTGACAGTTATTGGCAAATTTGCAGAAGTAAGGCTTGAAAACAGGAGTCATGGGGAAAAGATCATCTTTTCAATAAATGATGTTAAGTTAACTGGATATCCACATGGAAAAAGAAAGAAAGAAATTCACTTCTACTCCATACATAAAATCAATTTAATGTAGGAGGTGGGACATCTGACTATCACAGAGTAAAGAAGTCAGCAAATTCTCTCTCCAAAAAAGCAAGTATAAAACTGGACAAAATTATTAAAAACCAATAATTTTCTGGCTCTGGAAATTTACCAAAGGCAAACAACAACAGAGGTATTTAGTAATGAAAAGTTGCTAGAACTTTGGGGAAGGAAGAGTAAGAGTCTTTGGACTTATTGCTGGGAATAGCTCCAAAACCCTGCCAGCCTGGTCAGCCAGGTACTTTTATCAGGTAATGAAAAACAGTAACATTATTGCTGACTATTGATGGGTTTAAATCACACATAGATATTACATATATATATATATATGATGTAAATATTTATCATTCTATGTTTATACATATGTACAGTTGGCCCATTAACAACACAGGTTTAAACTGCACAAGTCCACTTATATGTGAATTTTCTTCTGCGGCTACCACCCCTGAGACAGTAATACCAACCCCTCCTCTTCTTCCTCCTCAGCCTACTCAAGGTGAAGATGACAAGGATAAAGACTTTTATGATGGTCCACTTATGCTTAATGAATAGGAAATACAGTCTCTCCTCCTTATAATTCTCTTTTTTTGCAGGGGGGGATGGAATCCCACTCTGTTGCCCAGGCTGGAGTGCAATGGCTCCATCTTGGCTCACTGCAACCTCCACCTTCTGGGTTCAAGCGATTCTCCTGCCCCAGCCTCCAAGTAGTTGGGATTACAGGTGCACACCACCACGCCCAGCTAATTTTTGTATTTTTAGTACAGACACGGTTTCACCTTGTTGGTCAGGCTGGTCTCAAACTCCTGATCTCAGGTGATCCACTCGCCTTGGCCTCCCAAAGTGCTGGGATTACAGGCATGAGCTACCTCACCCAATCTCTCCTCCTTATCATTTTCTTAAGAACATTTTCCTTTTTTTTCTGGCTTACTTTATTGTAAGAATACACTCTATAATACCTATACAAAATATGTGTTAAGCAACTGTTGATGTTATCTGAAAGCTTCTGTTCAGGAGTAGGCTATTAGTAGTTAAGTTTGGGGAGAATCAAAACTTATTTTTTCAACTGTGCAGGGGGTTGGCACCCTGAACACCTGCAGTGCTTAAGGGTCCGCCGTGGTCATTCTATGTATATATATGCCAATAAAAGCACAAAGAAAAGAAAAGGTGGTGGATTTAAATTGAAGCGAAGTTTCTACATTTGACTAGAATTAAGTCAACATTAGTCTGAAATAGGATACTAACAAGTTGATATGCATATTTTAATCACTAGAGTAACTACTATGGAAATTATTATAAAATGCAGTTAAAAAGTCAGCAGAGGTGAATTAAATGCAAATGGAGGAGTAAGGACCTCGAAAAACCCTCTTCTTCACAAAAACTATGAGAACACTGTGCAAAAAGTGTCAAAATTAACTTTTTCAAAGCTCTGGAAATCAACCAAAGGCTTGAGATAATCTAGGAGCATGTATGCTAGAAAAACAGCTGATCATCTCCCTATGGAAAGGTGAGGGAAGAATGGGAAGGACTTCATATCATGAATTGAGTGCCAGCTTAGCCACAGTAGAATAGAACATCAGGCAAATTTCTAAGATTTTTGACTCCAATCTCTGGCTCCTAGACAGCATCTCTGGACCTGCCTAGGACCTGAGGGTACTTGCTGCCCTGAAAGGAAGGACACAAACCCCGCTGGCTTCACCACTTGCTGATTGTAAAGCCCTAACTAAGGCCTTGAGTGAACACAGGTGGTAGCCAGGTAGTGGTAAGAGCAGGCCTTTGGCAAGTGGTAAGAGCAGGCTGCGCTGGCTTCAGGTCTGACTCAGTAGTGGTGGCCACAGGAGTGCTTCCATCACCAAACCTCCAGTTCCAGGCAGCTCAGCACAGAGAAAGAGTGACTTCATTTGTTTGGGTGAAAGAAATGGAAAAGAACAAGAGTCCTCGCCTTGTAATCTAGAGAATTCTTCCAGATCTTATCCAAGACCACCAAGTTGGTACCTCCATGAATCTGAAAGAACCACAGTATTGTTGGGCTTGGGGTCCAAGTCTCTTTGAATATCTGGGAAGCCCTGTCATGAAGGATAGGCACAAAAAAAGCCCAGGCTCCAAAGACTACAATAAATACCTAACTCTTCAATGCCCAGACACCAATGAACACCTGTCTACAAGCATCAAGATAATCCAGGAAAACATGACCTCATGAAATGAACTAAATAAGGTACCAGGAACCAATCCTGGAGAAACACAGACATGTGATCTTTCGGACAGAAAATCCAAAATAGCTGTGTGGAGGAAACTCAAAGAGATTCAAGATAACACAGAGAAGGAATTCAGAGTTCTATCAGATAAATTTAACCAGGAGATTTAAATAATTAAAAAGAATCAAGTAGAAATTCTAGAGTTGAAAAATGCAACTGACACCAGTCACCTAATAAGCAGAACTGATCAAGCAGAAAAAAGAATTAGGAAACTTGAAGACAGGCTATTAGAAAATATACGGTCAGCAGAGACAAAATAAAAAAGAATAAGAAATAATGAAGCACACCTACAAGATCTAGAAAATAACCTCCAAAGGGCAAATTGAAGTTATTGACCTTAAAGAGGTGGTAGAGAAAGAGATAGGGGCAGAAAGTTTATCCAAAGGGATAATATCAGAGTACTTCCCAAACCTAGAGAAAAATATCAACACTCAAGTACAAGAAGGTTATAGAAAACCAAGCAGATTTAAACCAAAGAAGACTATTCCATGGGATCTAATAATCAAACTCCCAAAGGTTGAGGATAAAGGATCCTAAAAGCACCAAGAGAAAAGAAACAAATTACATACAATGGAGCTCCAATACATCCAGCAGCCGACTTTTCAGAGGAATGCTTACAAGCCAGGAGAGAGTGGCATGACATATTTAAAGTGCTTAAGGAAAAAAACTTTCATCCTAGAATAGTATATCTAGGGAAAACATCCTTCAAACATGAAGGAGAAATAAAGACCTTCCCAGATAAACAAAAGCTGAGGGTTTTCATCAACACCAGACCTGCCCTGTAAGAAATGTTCAAGGGAGTTCTTCAATCTGAAAGAAAAGAGTGTTAATGAGCAAGAAGACATCATCTGAAGGTACAAAACCCACTGGTAATAGTAAGCACAGAATACTACTACACTGTAATTATGGTGTGTAAGCTACTCTTGTCTTAAGTAGAAAGACAATGATGAACCAATCAAAAATAATAACTGCAACAACTTTTCAAGACATAGTACAATAAGACATAAAGAGACACAACAAGAAGTTAAAAAGCAAAAAGATGAAGTTAGTGTAGAATTTTTTTAGTTTTCTTTTTGCATGTTTGTTTGTTTATGCAATCATTGTGAAGTTGTCATCCGTTTAAAATAATGAGTTATTAATAGTATTTGCTACCCTCAGGATAACTTCAAATCAAAAACCATACAATGGAGACACAAAAAATAAAAAGCAAGAAATTAAATCATACCGCCAGAGAAAATCACCTTCACTAAAAGGAACACAAAAAGAAGGGAAAGAAGAGAGAGAAGACAACGGCACAAACAGAAAATAAACAACAAAATGCCAGGAGTGAGTCTCTACTTATCAATAATAACATTGAATGTAAATGGACTAAACTCTCCAGTCAAAAGACATCGAGTGGCTGAATGGATGAAAAAACAAGACCCTATAATCTGTTGCCCACAATAAACAATTCACCTATAAAGATACACGTATACTTAAAATAAAGGGATGGAAAAAGATATTTCAGCATTTTGGGAGGCCGAGGCAGACAAATTACCTGAGGCCAGGAGTTCGAGACCAGCCTGGCCAACATGGCGAAACCCCGTCTCTACTAAAAGTACAAAAAATTAGCCAGGTGTAGTGGTACATGCCTGTAATCCCAGCTACTCCAGAGGCTGAGGTGGAAGAATGGCTTGAACCCAGGAGGCAGAGGTTGCAGTGAGTTGAGATTGCACCGCTGCACTCCAGCCTGAATGACAGAGAAAGACTTCATGTCAAAAAAAAGAAAGAAAGAAAGAAAGAAAAAGATATTTCATGCTAATGGAAACCAAGAAAGAGCAGAAGTAGCTATACTTATATCAGACAAACTAAATTTCAAGACAAAACTGTAAGAAGAGACAAAGAAGATCATTATATAATGATAAAGGAGTCAATCCAGCAATAGAATAATTGTAAAATATATATGTGCCCAACACTGGAGCACCCAGATATATAAAGCACACATTATTAGAGCTAAAGACAGAGGTAGACCTCAATACAATAATAGCTGGATACTTCAACACTTCACTTTCAGCATCAAACAGATATCTATCCCAGACAAAAACTCAAAAAAGAAATATTGGACTTAATCTGCACTATAGACCAAATAGACCTAATACATATTCACAGAACATTTCATCCAAAGGCTGCAGAATACACATTCTTCTCCTCAGCACATGGATCATTCTCATGGACAGACCATATGTTAGGTCACAAAACAAGTTTTAAAACACTCAAAGAAATTGAAATCATATCAAGCATCTTCTCCAACCACAATGGAATAAAGCTAGAAATCAACAACAGGAATTCTGGAAACTATACAAACACATAGAAATTCAAGAATGTGTTCCTGAATGACCAGCAAGTCAATGAAGAAATTGAAAAGGAAATTGAAAATTTTTTGAAACAAATAATAATGAAAACACAACATGTCAGTATCTATGGGATACAGAGAAAGCAATACTGAAAGGAAAGATTATAGATATAAATGCCTACATCAAAAGAGAAGAAAACCTTCAAATAAATAGCCTGATAATGCATCCTAAAGAACAAGAAAAGCAAAAGCAAATCAAACCCAAACTTAGTAGAAGGAAAAATAAAGATCAGAACAGAAATAAATGAATTTGAAATGAAGAAAACAATATGAAAGATCAGTAAAACAGAAAGTTGTTTTTTTAAAAAGATAAACAAAATTGACAAACCTTTAGCCAGACCAATGAAGGAAAAAAAGAAGACTCAAACAAATTAAATCAGCAATGAGAAAGGAGACATTGCAAGTGATACCACAGAAATCCAAAGGATTATTAGTGGCTACTATGAGAAACTATATGCCAATAAATTGGAAAACCTAGAGAAAAATGGATAAATTCCTAGACAGGACAAAGAATACAGGATTTACAGAATTTGTTTGGAGGATTTATTAAACAAACAGCAAAAACAACTATTACACCACCTACAAAACAACACCAACATCAAGTGCTGGGGAGAAAGAAGAATGTGATTTCCAGAGTTACTACATTGTATTATTTAAAATGTCTAGTTTTCAAAAAAATTACAAGACATAAAAAAAAAAGTGTGGTTCATACACAGAAGAAAAGTAGGCAATAGAAACTGCTTTTTTTTTTTTTTTTGAGATGGTGTCTTGCTCTGCTGCCCAGGCTGGAGTGCAGTTGCGTGATCTCAGCTCACTGCAAGCTCCGCCTCTCAGGTTCACACAATTCTCCTGCCTCAGCCTCCAGAGTAGCTGGGACTACAGGTGCCCGCCACCATACCCAGCTAATTTTTGTATTTTTAGTAGAGATGGGGTTTCACCGTGTTAGCCAGGATGGTCTCGATCTCCTGACCTCGTGATCCCCCCGCCTTGGCCTCCCAAAGTGCTGGCATTACAAGCATGAGCCACCACACCCGGCCTAGAAACTGTTTTTAAGGAAGCATAGATGTTGGAATTACTAAAATAAACAAAGACTTTAAATCAGCTATTTTAAATATGTTCAAAGACTGCATTCTGGGAAGACTATTCAAGAGATGAAGATGTATAGCCTACATCATAGAGCTGCTAGGCAGTATCCCAAAGCACTTTACTCTATTTGTAAAATGTTTTGGGGAATTCTTCAATTACAAAGGAGAACTGCAGCACATCACCAGGCTAAAGCCCTAGACCCTTTCTGATGTACTTGTGGAAAAGTATAGCTGGTCCCGTGAAGATGTGGCACAGTTTATAAATTTTCTGATATTAGAAATGCTTCCAGAAAATTAAGCTTTGGTTGGCAAATGTCTTTGGCATGCTTGGTTGAATTTTTAGCAAATTCTACCAATATACCACTCTGAGCTAGCAAATGTTCCCAGTACATTTGACCTAAATGGTGACTCTCTTTCTTTAGCAAATTACAAGTGAGCTGGCTTCATCCTGGCCTTTATTTTGCTTTGAGGTATTGTTGTTTGACATTTTGCTTTTTGTGCACTGTGACCCTGGGTAAGGGTAGTCTTTTGTCTTCAGCTAAGTAGTTCACTGACCATTTTCTTCTGGAGACAATAACATGTCTCATGTCTCTAAGCATTGTTTTTTGTGCTGTGTAATGTTCAAATGTCTTTTTCCCCCCTTTGTGTTTTGGTAGATTTTATAGCTATTTATGAAATGTTTTTAGCTGAGTACTATATAATTTACAATCTTAAGAAATTATCAAGTCAGAACCCAGAAATAGCAAGGAAATGTACAATTTCATCTTCTGGCAAAGGAATATCATTCCTGTATTACAGTGTATGTGAATGCAACCTATAAATGTTAATTTCCATTAAATATGAGATTGGGACTCAAATTTCAGAAAGCTACCAAGTCTTAAGTGTTTTGTACGCTGTGTTGCATGTAGCGAACTTTAACTTATCCAAGGAGTTGTGTGAACTTTTCATTCCTTAACAGTCCTTTTATATTGGATTTTAGACAAAGTGGCTCAGGGTTACAAGACGTCATTTCCCACGTGGCACTCTGAAGGAAGAAAAGACATGTTTCTCATTCTAAAATATCCATTGTAATTCAGCAGACCCATTTGTATTTTCACACATTTTTTAAAGTACTTTTAAGGAAAAAGAGTAATTTCCCTTTGAAAATGTGATGGCCCAATACCATGTGATGTTACCTCCCTCAAGCACTGAAAGTTAAACTCTATATAGATTAAATTGCAAAAGAGAAATATGTTCAGTGTGCGTAATAAACTTATACATGTGTTTACTTATATATATGAACAAATAACTGAAGGAAACCATGTCTAAAGAGCTAAAGGAATGTTTCAAAACAACACCTCAACAAATAGAGAAAAACAATGAAGAGATGGACATTATTAAAAAGAAGCAAATAAAAATTCTGGAGTTTAACAGTTCAATTGCTGAAATGAAAAATTCTCTAGAGGGGCTCAACAGCAGATCTAAGCAGGCAGAAGAAAGAACCAGAGTACTTGAAAATAAGTCAATTGAGATCAGCTACTCTGAGAAACAAAAAGAAAAATGAATAGAGCCTCAGATACTTGTCAGATATCATCAAGCATACCAGCATATGCTCAATGGGAGTCCAAAAGAGCAAGGAAAAAGAGAAAGGGTCAGAAAGAGTATTTTAAGAATTAATGGCTGGAAACTCCACAAATCTGATGAAAAACATTAGTACACATCCAAAAGGTCATCACAAAGTAGCATAAATTCAAAGAGATCCACACCCAGACAAATGTTTGGAAAAACTCAAAACATGTTTCCTCTGCTCTCATACCACAACGTAACAGTCAACACAGAAGACTTCTGTGAGTCCAAAATATATAAAGATTTCTCCCCACCTTCAGCAAGCAATCCATTCTGCAGCAGACACCAGCTGGGTGTCCTCTAGTTCAATTCTGACACAACCTACTTGGAGATTGTGTCATATCCCACAGCTGTGGGGCTCAGTCCTTGAAATTTCCCCACCTTCAGACACCAGTCACAAGGCCAGGACTCTGGGACTTCTGACTGACTAGCTTCAAGTTGGAGTTTCTGCAACCAACTCTTTGGGTTTGATTAATTTGCTAGAGCAGCTCACAGAATTCTGGGAAACACTTATGTTTGCTGATGTATTATAAAGACTATTACAAAGGATACAGATGAAGAAATGCATAGGGCAAGGCATAAGAGAAGGGGCATGGAACTTCCAGGCCCTGCCCAGGCACACCACTCTGCAGGAACCTCCATATGTTTAGCTACCCAGAAGCTCTCCAAACTCAGTCCTCTTGGGTTTTTACAGAGGCTTCATTACATAGGCATGATTGATTAAACCATTGAGATCAATTTGATTCTCAGCCTCTCTACCTTACTCAGAGGTTAGGGTGTGAGGCTGAAAGTTCCAATCCTCTAATGATGCCTTTGTCTTCCCTTATTAGTCAACATTAGCATGCAAAAATATAGCACTTTGGAAATTCGAAGGATTTTAGGAGTTTTATGCCAGAAAGCAGGGATGAAGACCAAATACATATTTTACGATACCACCACACATAATAACCAAATCTCTGAAAGACAAAGGAAAAATTTTGAACAGCCAAAGAGAAATGACTGGAATAATCACGTTCAAGGCATCCTCTATGAAATTAATACTTAACTTCTGATTAGAAACCATGGAAGTTGGAAATCAGTGGGATGACATATTCAAATTCTAAAGAAAAAATAAGGCTTTCAACTAAAAATTCTATATCCAGAAAAACTGTCCCTCAAAATTTGGGAGAACTTAAGATATTGCCAGATAAACAAAAACTGAGTAAATTAATCACCAGCTGACCTGTTCAACAAGAAATTTGTCCTTCAGGCTGAAATGAAAGGACACCAGACAGTAATGTTAATCTATATAAAGAAATAAAGAGCACTGGTAAAGGTAACTACATTGATTTAAACACAAAAGACAGCAAAAATATATTTTTTGTTTGTAACACTTTCCTTCTCTCATCTTATTTAAAAAACAATTGACATTTTACTTTTTTGGCACTATGATCATGGGGAAGAGTAGTCTTTTGTCTTCAGCTAAGTAGTTTATTGACAATTTTCTTCTGAAAACAATAACATGTCTCTAAGCACCGTTTCTTGTGTTGTGTGACATTCAAGTGTCTTTTTTTAATGAAAAGTATTTTCTCCTTTGTGTTTTGGCAGGTTTTATTGGAATTTATGAAGAGATATTTTAGCTGAGTACTATATAATTTACAATTTTAAGAAAGTATCAAGTTAGAACCCAGAAATAGTAAGGAAATGCACAATTTTATATTCTGGCAAATGGACCTAATTCCTGTATTACAGTGTAAGTAAATGTACCTAATAAATGTTAACTTCCCATTAAATATGAGATGGGGACTCAAATTTCAGTGATAATTACAAGTTTGTGTTGATGGGCATGCAATGAATAAAGAAGTAATCATGGGACAATAACAGCATGAAAAAGGTGACAGGGAATGGAACTACATAGGAATAAAGCTTTTTACACTATTGAACTTAAATGTATGTTAATCCAAAATAGATTTTCATAAATCAAGATGTTAATTGTGACCCCTTAGGCAACCATTAAGAAAATAAATCATAAAATATATAGTAGAGTAAATGACAAGAGAGTTAAAATAGTAGACAAGAAAATATCTGTTTAACACAAAAGAAGGCAGTAACAAAGGCGTAGAGAAATAAAAATGACATAAGACAGAGAGAAAACAAATGGAAACATGGCAGATATAAATCATACCTAATCAGCAATTAGATGAAATGTAGATGTTTTAAATACCCTAATCAAAAGGCAGAGACTAATAGTATGTACTTCTAAAAAATCATCCAACCATATGTTGTCTAAAGGGACACAGTTTAACTTAAATCTAAGACCTGAAACCATAAAAATTCTAGAGAGTAACCCAGGAAAAATTCTTCTGGACATTGGCCTAGGCAAAGAATTTATGACTAAGACCCCAAAAGCAAATTCAACTAAAACAAAAATAAATAAATGAGACCTAATTAAATTAGAAAGCTTCTGTACAGAAAAAAAAAATCATCAGAGTAAACAAACAACACACCAAATGGGAGAAAATATTTGCAAACTATGCATCCGAAAGATGACTAATATCCAGAATCAACAAGGAATTCAAACAATTCAACAAGAACAAAAACATAATCCCAACAAAAAGTGGGCAAATGATATGAACCCACATTTCTCAAAAAAAAGACATACAAATGGTCAACCAACATATAAATGCAAATTAAAACCACAGTAATATACCACTTTACCCCTGTAAGAATAGCTATTATTAAAAAGTCAAAAAACAATAGATGTTGGCATGGATGTGGTGAAAAGGGAATGCTTACACACTGCTAGTGGGAATGTAAATTAGTACAACCTGTATGGAAAACAGTATGGTGATTTCTTAAAGAACTAAAAGTAGATCTACCATTCAATCCAGCAATCCCATGATTGGGTATCTACCTAAAGGAAAAGAAGTCATTATATCAAAAACACATCTTCACATGTATGTTTATTGTAGCACAATTTACAATTGCAAAGATATGAAACCAACCTAAGTGTCCATCAACCAATGAGTAGATAAAGAAAACATGGTATATATATATACGCCATGGAATACTACTGAGCCATAAAAAAGAACAAAATAATGTATTTTGCAGCAGCTTGGATGGGGCTGGTGACCATTATTCTGAGTGACATAACTCAGGAATGGGAAACCAAATACTGTATGTTCTTACTTATAAGTGGGAGCTAAGCTATGGGTATGCAAAGACATTCAGAATGATAAAATGAACCATGGGGACAAAAAAAGGGGAGGTTGGGAGAGGGACAAAAGATAAAAACTACATGTTGGTTATACTGTACACTGCTTAGGTGATGGGTTCACTAAAATCTCAGACTTCACCACTGCACAATTCATCCATGTAACTAAAAACTACTCACACCCCAAAAGCTATGAAAACAAACAAACAAACAAAAAAAACAGGCCAGGCACAGTGGCTCACACATGTAATCCTAGCACTTTGGGAGACCAAAGTCGGCAGATCACTTGAGACCAGAAGTTTGAGACCAGCCTGGCCAACATGGCAAAACCTCATGTCAAATAAAAATACAAAAAAAAAAAAAAAATTAGCCAGGCATTGTGGTGCATGCCTGGAATCCCAGCTGCTCAGGAGGCTGAAGCAGGAGAATCACTTGAACCCAGGAGGTGGATGTTGCAGTGAGCCAAAATTACTGCACTCCAGCCTGGGTAACAGAGTGAGTGAGACTATATTTCAAAAAACAAAACAAGAACAAAACAAAACAAAAATACCCTGTGAATAGATTTGTAAATAACCACATCAGTGGTTCTCAAGGCTTTTCATCTGGGAAAAAAAAGGGCTTTGATTTACACTGATATTTACAGTATTGGAAATTTAAAATAAGAAATTCAAACAAGACAGAGAGATACACTTTAAGACCAGGCACTGTGGCTCACACATGTAATCCTATCACTTTGAGAGGCTGAGTCAGGAGGATCACTTGATGCTGGGAGTTTGAGACCAGCACAGGCAAGACCCCAACTGTATATTAAAATTTTTAAAAATTTTTAATTTTTTTAAAAAAGACACAGTTTAGATTCAAAGAAATAAATAGGTTGAAGGTCAAAGGATAGGAAAATATATACCATGCAAACAATAACAGAAAAAGAGATGGAGTGGTTATACTAGTATTACACAAAATGGACTAGAAGACAAAAATTTTATGGGCAAAAAAAGACACTTTATAACAATAAAGGGGTCAATCCATTTATGAAGAGATAACAATCATAAACATGTACACATTACAACAGAACCTAAAAATACACGAGGTTAAAAACTGACAGAATTGAAGGAAAAATATACAGTTTAAAATTAATAGTTGGAAACTTTGCTCAACTTAGAAAACTCCACAACAGCAAAATATGAATTATTCTCAAGTGCATGTAGAACATTCTCCAGGCTAGATAATAAGCTAGTCTACAAAACAAGTCTCAATAAATTTAAAAGGATTGAAATCATTTAATGTATGTTCTCTGAACACAATGGAATGAAAATTAGAAATAAATAACTGAAGAAAATCTAGAAAAATTACAAATAGTGGAAACTAAATAATACAGTCCTAAACAACTGATGAGTCAAAGAAGAATCACAAGAGAAATTAGAAAACACTTTGAGATGAACAACAAAAACAATATACCAACACTTACAGGATGCAGTGAAACAGCATGCAGAGGGAAATTTATAGCTGTAAAAGCTTACATTGAAAAGGAAGGATCTCAAATGAATATCTTAAGAAACTAAAAAGAGAAAAAACAAAAGCAAACAGAAGGAAGAAAATATTAAAGATTAGAACCTTGATTAATAAAGCACTAATTAAATAAAAATAGAGACACATAAAGAAAATCAAGGACAACAAAGGTTGGTTTTTTGAAAAGATCAACAAAACTGACAAATCTTTACATTAAACTGACCAACAAATAAAGAAGACTCAATTACTAAAATCAGGAATGATTTTGTAATTCATTTAGCAGTGATTTTAGTAATTCAAAAGAGAGAACACTGCTATCAACTTTACAGAAATAAAAATAATTTAAGAGAATAATATGAGCAATTATACAATAGTAAGTAGATAACATATATAAAATAAGAAAATTCCAAGAAAAATGCAAACTTCCAAAACTGACTCAAGAAGTAGAAAACCTGAATAAATCCATAATTAATAAAGAGATTGAGTGGGTAATCAAAAATTTCCCACAATGGAAGTTCAAGACCAGATGGTTTCACTGCTGAACTCTACTTAAAATTTCAGAAAGAATTTACACCAATCCTTCAAAAACTCTTGCAAAAAACAATAAAAGAGACAGGAACACTTCTCAACTCATTTCATTAGGCCAGTATTACCTGGATGCCAAAACTAGACAAAGACATTACAAGGAATAAAAAACTACATATCAATACTTCTTATGAATATAGATATAAAATGCCTCAATAAAAAACTAGCAAACCGAATCTAGTAACATATAAAGGATTACATATCATAACCAAGTGATATTTATCCCAGGAATACAAGATTAGTTACATATAAAATCAATTCATGGACAAATTATTTATTTATTATTTATTTGTGTATTTATTTTTAGATGGAGTCTTCCTCTGTCACCCAGGCTGGAGTGCAGCAGCACAATCTCTGCTCACTCCAGCTTCAACCTCCCAGGTTCAAGCCATCCTCCTGCCTCAGCCCCTCAAGTAGATGAGACTACAAGCATGTGCCACCACACCTAGCTAATTTCTGCATTTTTGGTAGAGACAGGTTCTCACCATGTCCCCCAGGCTGGTCTTGAACTCCTGAGCTCAAGCAATCTGCTTGCCTCAGCCTCCCAAAGTGCTAAGATTACAGGTGTGAGCACCATGCCCAGCCCAAACCATATTTAAAAAATGAAAAACAAACACCATGTAATCTTTTCAAGAGATGCAACAAAAGACAAAATCCAAAATATTTTCATAAAAAGAAAACTATGCAACAAACTAAGACTAGAAGGTAAATTTCTCTATGTGATCAAAGACATCTACAAAAGTCCCAAGGCTAACACCATTCTTAATGGTAGAAGGTAAAAATCTTTCATTCTAAGACCAGGAACAAAATGTCTGCTCTTACCACTTCTATGCAACATTTTACTGAAGGTTCTAGCCAGGGCAGTTAGGGAAGATAACAAAATAAAACACATTAACATTGAAAAAAAGAAGTGAAACTATCTCTGTTTCCAGATAACATGATTTTTTGTATAGAAAATCCTAATAAATCCACTATACACACACACACACACACACACACATATACATATAACAAATTTTAGAAAAGTTGCAGGACAAAAGATCAGTATACAAAAATCAAGTGTATTTCTATGCACTAGCAACAAATAATCTGAAATAAAAATTAAGAAAATAATTCCACTTAAAATGCATCAAAAACAATAAACTACTTAGAAATAAATTTCACAAAAAAAAACTGTAAGACTTGTGTACTGCAAACTACAAAACATCACTGAAGAATAAAATTAAAGAAGACATAAACAGAAACATATCCCATGTTCATGGATTGGAAGATTTAATGTTGTTAAAATGGCAAGACTCCCCAAATTGATCTGCAGATTCAAAGAAATCTATGTCAAAATCCCAAGTGCTTTTTTTTTTTTTGGTTGAGACTGATGAGCTGATCAAAAAAAATTCATATGGAAACGCAAGGGACCCAGAAGAGCCAGAAATAAATAAAAGCTATGATGACATACTTCTAGATTTCAAAAGTTAAACTACAGTAATCATGACTCTGGTACTGGCATAAAAATAGACACATAAATCAATGGAATAAAATTGAGAACCCAGAAATAAACAGTCATATCTGTGGTCAATTTATTTTCAACAAGGGCACCAAAAACATTCAATGAGGAAATAATTGTCTTTTCAGCAAATGGTAATTGGACAAATGGATACCCACATGCACAATAATGAAGTTATAACCCTACCTCACACCATATGCAACAAATTAACTCAAAAAGGATTAAAGATCTAAATGTAAAGCTTAAAACTGTAAAACTTTCAGAAGAATGCATAGGAGTAAATCTTATGACACCAAAAGCATAAGCAACCAAAAAAAATAGATAAGTTGGACTTCATCAAAATGAAAAGCTTTTGTGTTGCAAAGGACACTACTAAAAAGGGAAGACACAACCCACAGAATATTAGGAACTATTTACAAATCATGTATCTGATAACAGACCATATCCAGATACATAAAAACATATACAAACATAGAGACTTAAAACTCAACAATAAAAAGGTAAGATAAATAAGCCAATTTTAAAAGGGGCGAAGGATTGAGATCTACATTTCTCAAAAAAAAAATATATAAGGCTAATAAACATATGAAAAGATGTTTAACATCACTAGTCATTAGGAAAATACAACCCAAAAGCACAGTGAGATATCACTTCACACCCACTAGGATGGCTATGATCAAAAAAATAGACAATAACAAATGTTGAAGATAATGTGGAGAAACAAGAATCCCCATACATAGCTGATGGGAATGTAACATGGTGGAGCCTCTTTGGAAAACAGTTTAGCAGTTCCTCAAAAAGTGAAACACAGTTACCATATGACCCAGCAATTCTAGGTATACACCCAAGACAATTAAAAATATGTCCACACAAGAACTTGTATGTGAATGTTCATAGTACCATTATTTATAATAACTGAAAGGTGAAAGCAACCCAAATGTCCATTAAGATATGAATGGATAAACAAAATGATATAGACGTAAAATAGAATATTATTTATCCACAAAAAGAATGAGACACTGATACATGCTACAAATGAGTAAATCTTGAATGTATTATGCTAAGTGAAATAAGCTAGGCACAAAAGGCCACATATCATATGATTTCGTTAATATTAAATGTCCAGAATAGGCAAACTATATAGAGACAGAAAGTAACTTACTGATTGCCAGGGATTAGGAGAAAGGGAAGCGGAAAGTAACTGCTAATAAATACAGAATTGTTTTGGCCTTTGGTGTGTGTGTATGTGTGTGTGTGTGTGTATATGTGTGTGTGTGTGTATGTGTGTGTGTGTATGTGTGTGTGTGTGTATGTGTGGTGATGAAAATGTTCTGTAATTAGATAGTTGTAATGGTTGCACAACTTTGTGAATATACTAAAAACCACTGAATTGTATATTTTAAAAGAAAAATTGCATAGTATGTGAATTATATCTTAATCTAAAAAAGAAAAAAGTCAACAGTAAATTAAAATAATCAACTAAAAAATATTAGCTAGATTAAGCAAGAAAAAAATGAAAGAAGACCTAAAGGGCCACTATCAGGAATGAAAGCGGAAGCATCACAAGTGATCCTATAGAAATGTAAATGCTTATAAGGAAATAAGATGTATAACTTTTGCCAACAAATTGGACAATTTAGATGAAATGGACAAATTCCTGGAAACACTCCAAACACCAAAACTGACTCAAGAAGTAGAAAATCTAAATACAGTTATAAAAGGTGAATAAATTAAATTTATAATAAAAAACCTTCCCACAAAGAAAAACCCAGCCCCAAAATGGCTTCACTGGTGAATCTTATCAAATATTTAAATAGGAAATAATGACAATCATATGCAAACTCTCTTGGGAAACAGAGAGAAAAACCTTATCCAATCCATTATGTAAGGCCAATATTACCGTGATACTAAAACAAGATAAAGATATCATAAGCAAAGATAATTAGAGACCAACAGTTACATAGACACAAAAATTCTTAACAAAATATTAGCAGACCAAATCTACCAACATCTGAAAAGGAGTATACACCATGGCCAAGAAATTTAGCCCACAAATGCAAGGTTGATTTAAGATCCAAAAATTGATATGATACATTATGATAGTAGAATAAAGGACAAAACAAGATTATTTTTGCCAGTAGACATAGATAAAGCATTTGATGAAGTCCAATTCCCACTCATGATAAAAACTCTTAATAGGGATAGATGAGAATTTCCTCAATCTTTTTTTTTGAAAGAAAAAAAATTTTCGAAAGAAAAAAAAAGAAAAGAAAATTTTCTTTTTTTTTTTCGAGATGGAATCTCTGTCTGTCACCCAGGCTGGAGTGCAGTGGCACAATCTTGGCCCACTGCAACCTCCGCCTCCCAGGCTCAAGCAATTCTCCTGCCTCAGCTTTTCAAGTAGCTGGCATTACAGGCGTGCACCACTACTCCCGGCTAATTTTTGTATTTTTAGTGGAGACAGGGTTTCACCATGTTGCCCAGGCTGGTCTTGAACTCCTGACCTGGGGTGATCCACCCGCCTCGGCCTCCCAAAGTGCTGGGATTACAGGCGTGAGCCACCACACCCAGCCGAGAATTTCCTCAGTCTTATAAATGCATCTGTGGGAAAGTCCTACAGCTAACATAATACTTAATGAGGAAAGACTGAATGCTATCCCCCATAAGATCTGGAACAGGAAAAAAAGTTGTCTCACCTCTTCTATTCCACATTTTACTGTAGGTTCTGGTCAGTGCAATAAGGCAAAAATAATTCAAAGGCACGTAGATTAGAAAGGAAAAAGTAAAACTTTATTCATATATGACATGATCTTGTATGTATAAAATCTTAATGAATCTGCAAAAATAATAAAAGCCAATTAGAACTGAAAAGCAAGTTGCTATGGTTTGAATGTGTCCCCCAAAGTTCATGTATTGGAAACTGAACCCCCAATGCAACAGTATGGGGAGTTAGGGCCTACTAAGAGGGCTCTGCCCTCATGAACGGATTAATGTCATTATCATGGGAGTAGATTGGTTATCTCAAAAGTAGGTTTGTTATAAAGTGAGTTCAGCACCCTCTTGTTCTTTTGCACATGCTCTTGTTGCCTTCCACCTTCCACCATGGGATGACACAGCAACAAGGTCCTGACTAGATGCATCCCCTTGATCTCAGACTTCCCAGCCTCCAGAATCCATGAGCCAAATAAACTTCTATTGTTTATAAATTACCTAGTCTGTGGTATTCTGTTATAGTAACAGCAAAATGGACTAAAAGTTTAGCAAGATTGCAGCCTACAAGATCAAAAAGTCAAATGTATCTCTATATCCTAACCACAAACTATACAAAAATGAGATTAAGAAAACAATGCCATTTACAATAGCATCAAGAAGGATAAAATATTTAGAGAGTACATTAACAAAGAAGTGTAAGTTGAAAGATTAAACACTGCTAAGAGAAATTAAGGAACATGAAAATAAATGAAGAGACATTTCATTTATTGGGCTGGAAGACTCAATATTATTAAGATAGCAACACTCTCTAAGTTGAGGTAGAGATTCAATGGAATCTGTCAAAACCACAGCTGGATAAAGTTGCAAGATACACAATCAACATACAAAAATCACTAACATTTCTATGCACTAACAGTGAAGTATTTGAAAAAGAAATCAAGAAAACAATCTCATTTACAATAGTTACCAAAAAAATACTTAGGAATAAATTTAACTGGAAAGGTGAAAGACCTCTACAGTGAAAACTATAAAACACTGATGAAAGAAAATGAAGAAGACACAAGTAAATGACATGATATCCCATGCTGATGGTTTAGATTAATTAATACTGTTAAAATATTTATACTACTCAAAGTGAGCTATAGATTCAATGCAAAACCTATCAAAATTCCATTGACATTTTTCACAGAAATAGTAAAAACAATCCTAAAATTTGGAGCCACAAAAGACCCAGAATAGCCAAAACAATCTTGAGGAAAAAAAATAATAATAATTCTGAAGGCATCATATTGTTCAACTTTAAAATGTACTACAAAGCTATAGTAATCAAAACATCATAGTATTGGCATAAAAACAGGCACGAACCAATGGAACAGGATAGAGAGCCCAGAAATAAATTCATGCATTTACAGTTAATTGATTTTTGACAAAGTATCAAGAACAATGAGGAAAGAACAATTTCTTCAATAAATGATATTGGAAAACTGGATATTCACATGCAAAGAAAGAAATTAGGCCAATAGCACAAGGAACAAAAGCAAAAATAGACAAATAGGATTACAGCAAACTAAAAAATATCCTTCACAGCAAAGGAAACAATCAAGAGTGAAGAGACAACCTACAGGATGGGAGAAAATATTTGTAAATCATACATCTGATAAGAGATTAATATCCAAAATATATAAGGAACTCAGCTTAATAGCTAAAAAACAAATAACCTGATTTTAAAGATGGACAAAAGACCTAAATAGCCATTTCTCAAAAGAAGACATACAAATGGCCAAAAAGTATATGAAAAAAATGTTCACTAGGACTGAACATCAAGAGAAATGCAAACTAAGACCACAATGAGACCTCACACCTGTTAGAATGACTATTATCAAAAAGATGAAAGATAAATGTTGGTGAGGACGTGGAGAAATGGGAATCTTTGCACACTATTGTTGGGAATGTAAATTACTACAGTCATTATGGAAAACGGTATGGCTATTTCCCCAAAAATTAAATCTAAAACTACTGTATGATCCAGCAATCCCACTACTGAATATATATCCAAAGGAAATGAGATATACGTATTGAAGAGCTGTCTGCTCTCGAATGTTTATTGCAGCATTATTCACAATAGCCAAGATATGAAATCAACCTAAGTTTCCATCCACAGATAAATAGATAAAGAAAATGTGGTATATATACACAGTGGAATATTACTCGGCCTTAAAAAAAGAAGGAAAGAGTGCCAGTTACAATAGCATGGATGAACCTGGAGGACATTATGTTAAGCGAAATAATCCAGACACAGAAAGACAAATACTGCATGATCTCACTCATATATGGAATCTTAAAAAGTTGAATGCATAGAATAGAGAGTAGAATGGTGGTTACCAGAGGCTGGGGGATGAGGAGGAAAGCTGCTGGTCAAAAGGTAAAAAAATTCAATTAGATAATAGAAGGAATAAGCTCAAGAGATCTACTGTACAACATGGTGATTATAGCATACACCAATGTATTATATTCTTAAAAATTGCTAAGAGTAGATTTTAAGTGTTCTCACCACAAAAAGATAAGCATATGAGGTAATGTATATATTAATTAGCTCAATTGAGCTGTTCACAACGTACACATATTTTAAAACATCATGTTGTACACAATAAATATATATGACTTTTATTTATCAGTTATAAAAAAACAGCTGGCTTTTTTAAATAAAAATTGACAGGCTCATCTTAAAATTCATATAGAAGTGTAAAGGGCCCAGAATACCCAAGACAATTTCTAAAAGAAACAAGAAAAAAGTCAGGGTATTTACACCTGCTTGATTTGAAAACTAACTACAGAACTTCAATGATCAGGACATGGTAGTGTGGGTGCAGAGATACAGAATACAGTACAGAAATAAACCTTTAAATTTATGGTCCATTTTTTTTTACCATGTTGTCAAGGTGATTCAGCAATGGGAAAAGTGTAGTTTTTTCAAAGTTTTTCATGCTTCCTGTTTCCACTGTTTTCTCATGCTTCCCTGACAACTGAATGTTCATATCTCACAGACAACCACACACACTCACACTCACGAACTTAGCCCCTTGTCTCACAACTCATACACAAATATTAACTCAAAATGTATCACAGACAGAAATATAAAGGCTAGAACTACAAATCGTAAGAGAAAAACATAGTAGTAAATCTTTATGATCTTGAGTTAGGCAAATATTTTTTAGATATGATACCAAAAACACCACCTATAAATTAAACATTAATAAATGGACTCTATCAAAATTAAAAACTTTTGCTTTTCATAAAGCACCATCAATAAAATGAAAAGACAAGCTACAGACTGGGTGAAAATGTTTACACACCACATATCTGACAAACGACTTGAATTCTACATAAATAAGAAACTCTTTTAGCTCAAAAATAATAAGATAAAACAACCCCATATGAAAACGGACAAGATCTAAAGAGCACTTCACCAAAGAAAGTGTCAAATGAGCATTTGAAGAAATGTCCAACATCAGTAGTCATTAGGGACAGGCAGATTAAAGCCTCAGTGAAAGCCAGCATGGTGGCATGTGCTGAAGCGGCTGAGGCAGGAGGCAGGAAGGTCACCTGAGCCCAGGAAGCCTGGGCAACATAACACCATCCCATCTCAAAAAGAAACTCAATGAAGTATTACACTCTTATTAAAATGATTAAAATAAAAATACAAGCAGTACCAAGTACTGATGAGGATATAAAACAGATCTCTCACATATTGTTGGTAGAAATGGAAAATGTTAAAGCCACTCTAGAAAGTAGTTTGGCTGCATCTAATAAAGGTAAATATATATTAACCCTTGAGAAATGAAAACACAGGTTCACAAAAACCTGTATGCATTTTTTATAGCAGCTTTATTTATAACCATCAAAACTGGAAACCATCCACATGTCTTTCTACCAATGAATGATTTAGGAAGCTGTGGTAAATCCATTGAATGGAATACTACTCAAAAATAAAAAGGAAGAAACTACTAATACACACAGCACAACGGATGAATTGTAAATGAATTTTGCTAAGTGAAAGAAGCCAGAACCAAAGGTTACGTGTTATATTACTGTATTCCATTAATGTGACCATCTGGAGAAGGCAAAACTATATGGATGGAAAACAAATCAGAGGGCTCCAGAGGCCAGGCGTGGGGAGAGGGTAGCTTTAACTACAAAGCCGGCAATAGAAGTGGATTTTGTGAGTGGCAGAACCATTCTAAGTCATGATGCAGGGTGGATATGCGACTCTATCCATTTGTCAAAACCCATAAAACTGTACACCACAAAGAGTGATTTTTACTGAGTGTAAACTTAAAAGAAATCAACCACAATATGGGAGAAACCCAAAATGGAATACAAATTGTAATAAATGAATTTAACTATATTACAAATGAATAAAAGCAACACACTGAGGACAGTGGGAAAGAGTTACTTTGGGAAGCATCATTTTGAATATATATTGTGAAACTGAAGACAAAAACAACTGCACAAATTCTGTGTTTTAATTAATAAATTAGTTTCTCACAAGGGCATAGGTTAGCAATTCTGACACTGCTTTATATGCATACCAGGGTTGAACAAACAAACCGTGATATTTTCATTTTATTAAGTCACTCAGTGTTAGAAAAAGGTATTAGAAACAAGGAAAGAGGAAAGTTAGAAAAAAAACTCTGGGGTGTGAACCGGAGTCAGAAGTATCATTATCCAACTCAGTTTTTAAATAAATATTGATGTTTGTGTTTGCATGGCGGAGTATACATATGTATAATTCCAAGATCTGTCCCGCTAAAAAGACACACAAGTAAGAAAGCAACAAGCACATTTAGTGCCTGATCTTGTTTCTAAATACCAGTCTCCAATAAAAAGGAATCAGGACTCCACCAAAAATGCTGTTTCTAGGCTCTGCAAGTTCCTTCAAGTCTTTGCTCAGATTGTACCTTATCAATGAGGCTTTCCCCTGACATTTCTATTTAATACTGCAACCTGCTCCCCCATTCCAGAACTTCTGATCTGCTTACTCCTTTCTCGTTGTTCCCTAACGCTTATCACCTTCCAACATACTAGAAAATTTATTTATGTTTATTGTTTATTGTCTTAACTGTCCCCTAGTCTACTTCATTCTCTGATGTGACCCAAACATGTAGAACAGTGATTGGCACATAGTAAGAGCTAAATAAATATTCATTGAAATGAATGAATGAATAATGAGACAAAGACAAGTAACTATAGTGCAGCTGTGTTACAGTGCCGCTGAAGAGCCATTGCACTGACAGCCAACATCTGAGCTGGTTGAGATCCTTTGAGCAGAGGACTAGAATTCCAGAACACTAGCCAGCAAATAACTGCATGCACTCAGGGCCACTGCAAACTCATGAAGTGCCTTTGTGTAAATTAGAAAGGACACCCCTTCCTCGTGGCGGATGCAGCTCTGCTCCAGGGTGAGGGCTTGGCAACTGAATTTCGCTCCAACCCAAATCCCTTGCCTGGGAGATATTGTGCAGTGCACAACCTGCCCAATTGTGCATGATGGCCGTGCACAGGGCGTAGTGGCCACACACAGACTTTCAGAACCAACAGTTGCAAAAAAACTCTGTCCACTGCCATGGCTGTGTCTGGGGGCATCTTGTAGAAACGTCCTGCTCCCTGGTGCTTGGCCCCTATGGCTTCACCCAGAACCCCATCCTGAGCCTGCTTGCTCAGAACCACCTGGGCACCATGGCAGGCAGGGCCTTTGCCTCGGAGTTGGTTCTTCCTCCTTACTCCCTCTTTTAGTTTCCAAATCTTAGCCCATGACACTGTCTCTGGATTCCATTGGCTCTATGCCTCAGAGTAACAGCCTCTCCTCTCCTCTTCCAGGCTAACCTCTCTTCCCAAAACCCAGTCTAAGCCCAGCCGTGCCGACTTTCTGCTTGCCTTGAAGTGGTAACCAGACTGCACTAAATGTCCCCATCACCCCCTCTCCCCTGTGGTCTTCAAGTTGTGCTCCAGAACCCTCAGGGCTGCTGCCTGAGCTGTGTGGACTTGGAGGGAAGGGGGAAAGGAAACCCAGGGCCAGGACACAGGCTCCCTCAGCCTTGCTTCAACAAAAGCACCTCTGCTCACAGTATTTATAGCTTTCAAGTACAATTTTTGCCTAGGAAAAAAAAAGTTATATGTCTAAACATTAGGATATAGACATTCTATGCCTTCAGAATGCAGTCATTTTAACTTGGAGAAAACTTTAAGTAATACTCATCTCCCACTTAAAAGAATTTTAATAGAGAGCCTAAAGAATGATTGGCTTTGAGTGATGGAGTTACCTGGTGAGCCCTTCCAGATTAAAATTCTACAAAATGCATGCCTTTGGTGACTTGCTATCTAGTATTAGAAACCAGATTAAAGTTTGGACAAATCTGCTGTAGATAATGAGTTTGATCTTAAAATGCTTGATCTGTAGCTGTTCTTCCTGAAAATCATTATCTAGCAAGGCCAGAATTTTTTGGTAATCTAAGTGTTCACCTCCTAATTTATCTACTCTGGAAGTTCCCATCTTAGTATGTTTGACGGTGCACAGCTATTCTTATGTGGGACCCAATATGTGAATGAGGAAAGTGACCTATTGTGAGTCATATTCCTACTTTGTTTAAATTTGACATAAATGTCCCATGGGGGTAAGATGGCCAGTTTGCCAGACCCTAAGGAAGAGATGGGAGTGGAGGATTAGAGAATGGGAATCATGGGAGCCTCTAAAAATGACCCTCTGAATCAACACCAAAAAAACAAAAACAAAAACAAAAAAACAACCCAAACAACTGGATTCAAAATGGGCAAAGGACTTCAATAGGCATTTCTCCAAAGAAGACGGACAAATGACCAAGAAGCATAAAAAAAGATGCTCAGCATCACTAATCATCAGGGAAATGAAAATCAAATTTACAGTCAGATACCACCTTACACCCATCAGGACGGCTACTGTCAAAAAACAGAAAATAAGTGTTGGCAAGGATGCAGAGAAGTTGGCACTCTTGTGCACTGTTGGTGGCAACGTAAAACAGTGCTGCCACTGTGGGAAGTAGTATGGCAGGTTCTCAGAAAAAAAATTATAGAATTACCATATGATCCAGTAATTCCACTTCTGAGTATACACCCAAAAGAACTGAAAGCAGGGTCTCAAAGAAATAGTACACCCAAATTTATGGCAGCATTATTCCCAATAGCTAAAACATAGAAGAAAACCATGTGTCTATCAACAGATGAATGGGTTAGCAAAATGATGTATGCCCATAAGTCAGCCTTAAAAAGGAAGGAAATTCTGACACATGCTACAACATGGATGAACCATGAGTACCTTAGGCTAAGTGAAATAAGCCAGATGCAAAAGGACAATACTGTATGATTCCACTTATATGAGGTACCTACAATAGGCAAATTCATAGAGACAGAAAGCAGAATATTGGTTGTCAGGAGTTAGGGGTAGGGAGGAATGAGGAGTTTGAATTTAATAGGTATAAAGTTTCCATTTTGTAAAGACACACAAGGCTGGCAGGAGTCGACCCTGGTATGATCTTTCTGGAGGGTTGTGTGGGATTATGTATGAAGAGCCTTATACTGTGTCTGTACATGCCCTCTGTGCCCTCCCACACAACAATTCCGCTTTTTGGCCTTTCACCCTTAGAAACAATCATAGATGTCCACAAGGTGTATCTGTAAGGATGAACATCTGTTTATAATATCAAATGATCAGAAACAAATGTATAAAAGTGGGGCATAGTAAAATAAAGTATTACACTACCTATCTATATACAATTAACGTAAAAAATTTTTCAAAGAATATTTAGTAGCCTGAGAAAAAGTTCTCAGTATATTGCTAATGTTAAAAAAGCAGATTATAGAACAATCAGTTCAAAATACATACATTTTTACTAAAAAATTATATACACGTACATATGTAAAGAGAGGAAGAGTTACAATACCGGTGATTTTAGATTCATCTTTCTATTTTTCTTTATTTTCCACATTTCTATGCTATATATGTATTATTTATGTGATCAGAAGCAAAAATACTTTATAAATATTTTTAAGTTAAATCAGTCTTCTCAATTTTTTATTAAAGAACACTGAACCTAGGTGAGGTTCAAATTTTTCCTTCACAAGTGTCACCAAAAAGGGGTGCAAAAAATGCCACATTTTTATTGTTGTAAGTCAGAATTTACTGTAAAAAAATCAGATTGTAAGAGAGGGTTTAAAAATGTTTAAAAGAATAAATTTCACAATCACTTCAGAAGTACCTATTTGCATGCAAGTCAATAGTATGCTAATTTCCAATCATTCCCTCTTATTCATTAAAACCAGTCACCCAAGGCTCTCCCCAACCTGATAATTCAGGGTGAGGGTGGGAAGAGGGAGAGAGGGAGGAAGGAAGGAAGGAAGGAAGGAAGGAAGGAAGGAAGCAGGGAGGGAGGGAGGGAAGGAAGGAAGCAGGGAGGGAGGGAGGGAAGGAAGGAAGCAGGGAGGGAGGGAGGGAAGGAAGGAAGCAGGGAGGGAGGGAGGGAAGGAAGGAAGGAAAGAAGGAAGGAAGCAGGGAGGGAGGGAGGGAGGGAAGGAAGGAAGCAGGGAGGGAGGGAGGGAGGGAGGGAGGGCGGGCGGGCCTCTGGCACTGGGAAATAAGAGCTACACTGACTCTCATGTCAATTCTCCAGTTGGGCCTGCCATTCGGATTCTCATTCTCCCCTGTTCACCCAAGAACGTCCATGCTTTAACTTTTAGGCTCTAAACTGACCTGTTTGCATTAGTGCTCCATGTGGACTTCTGCTGGAAATCTGTATTTTTTTATTTGTCATAATATTAATGCGGTTTGGATTTGCGTGCAGCATTATGGAAAACTTTGCCAAACAATAACTGAGATGGCAGCTCTGGGATCCCTGAGAGAGGGACACAGTAAGAAGAGAACAGACGCCCGGCTGTGCCGGCCTGGCCAGTGGTTTCCGGGGCGCACTGGGGCTTGCGGGGTCCCCGGAGCACCGCCTGAAACGCACCAAAGAACCCCACTCTCCTCGCCCCTTAAGAAAATCAGGACAAACCAGCTGCCACTCAGGCAGAGAACTCAGGAAGGCCCAAGGAGACCAAGACGCGGCACGGCTGCAGGAGAAAGCTCAGCCTTGTGCAGTCCAGAAATCCTGCCTTGAAGCTCACAGGGGCCCAACCCAGCTGCCCCAGAAACACGGAGACGCTCTAGAGCCGCATGGAACCTCAGCACAAGAACTTCAAAAAGGACAAACCCAGGTGACCCTTGAGCCCGTACTCAAGGCCAGGCATGCGTACCACATTCTGTGAGGGCAAACAATCAGGAAAGGCTACTCAGGGAGGAAAAGCCATCGAGAAGAGCCGTGTTGACTCAGCCAGGAAGCATGAATGTGGCATTTCTCAAAGGACAATCAGCTTGGTTCTCCCGATTTCATAAAGTGCAGAGGGAGAGGCCGTGGGCTCAGGTTGGTTCCACCATCTGGGGCTCCAGCATGTGGGACTCCACCACCTGGGGCTCCACCCACCTGGGGCTCCACCCACTTGGGGCTCCACCCACCTGGGGATCTACCCATCTGGAATCCCCCACCTGGGGCTCCACCCACCTGGAGCTCCACCCACCTGGGGGCTCCATCACCTGGGGATCCACCCACCTGGGGCTGTGTCCACCCTGTGGGACTCCACCCACATGAGCCTTCACCACCACTCCACTTAACTGGGGCTCCATCAGGTGGGACTGCATCTACCTAGGGTTCCTGGCTTCCCTTATCTGGGGCTTTTCCTGGCTCCAGTCACCTAGGGCTCCACCTAACTGGACAGCACTTCTTCTCAAGCACCCAAGGGTCTCCTGGGTGTCCTGGCCAAGGTGCCATCTGCAGGGAATCTTTGAAAGACACCGTTCTAACCACCCCCTGCACCCCACATCCTCCTCAACACCCTCAGGAAAGTACCTGTTCTTAGAATGGTGTGCCAGGCCCTTTTGTTACCCCACACGCCTACCAGGCAGGACTTTGGCAGCCCTAGGTAGACCTTGCAGCTGGTTTTTCCCACCTCTGCACGTGTGGTACCCACCGCCTGGGGTGCCCATCTCGCTTGTATCCGCATGACAAACTTCTATTCCGGCTGGAACACCAGCCCAAAAATCACCTCCTCCAAACTCCTCATCTTACTCCAGCTTGGCTGCACCAACTCTGACTTTGTCACATAAGACAAAGAAGGTAAATATCTCTTTCACCTACCTCTTTGAACTACAAATCAAAAAGATCTGAGTTTGAATTCTGGCTCTTTTACCTATCAGCTGGGTGGTCTTGGGTGCATCAACCTTGCAAAGCCTCATGCTACTCACCTGTCAAATATGAATAGTAGAGTCCACTCCACAGAACACTTTGAGAGATTGAAATAATCACACTGCCTTCACCCTCCCCCAAACAGTAAGACCCTCAGAAGCATCTTATTCATGTTATCCCCAGGAGTTTGCAGGGCCTTTACCACTGGAGGAGCTCCCAAACTATCTTGTGAATGAATGATACTGGTGACTCAAGAGAGAGCCAGTTTATAGAATTTTCCCTAACAGGCCAGAGTCATGGCATAGCTCTGCCGTGGGTTTACAGGGTGGTTCTTTACTCAGATCCACATAATAATGCCTGAGGAGGTTTAGAAAGATTCTGCTGCTCCCACTCAAAGAGACTACTTCTGGGAGAGATGCAGAGCTGGGGAGGGAGCTTTGTTGATAGCCCTCCAGGGACTGCAAGGTGCATAATGGTGGGTTTACCGATGTTTCCCTCCTCTCCTCCCTCCCAGCCCCTCTCCAGCTTTGCCTCTCCTCCTTCCTCTTCCTGGGCTGTCACAGATAACAAGCAGCCACCTTCCAGGGACAGCCAGAGGTAAGGCAAGGATCAGCAGGAAGTGGGAGGAGGAATGAATGAGCTTTGAACACAAAGCACAGTGGCTCAGGGTGACATGTGGCTCACCTCAGTTGCAGGGACTAAAGGATGCACTTGTCCATAAAACATCCTGCAAATGTATCCTGCAAATGTATCCTGCAAATGTATCCTGCAAATGTATCCTGCAAATGTATCTTGCAAATGTATCCTGCAAATGTATCCTGCCACTCGTGGATTTTGGCAACTGCATGCGTGGATTCCTGCAAAGTCAATGAACACAACAGTGTAGCCCGGGATCCTTTTCAGGCAATGCCCTGCGGACCAGTACAAGTATGGAAACTGTGCAGGTGGTGGTGGGCCAGTCAGCTAAGCACGTTCCCAGTCCCCAAAAGGTCAGCTTTGCCCTCCCAAGCTGGAAGGCAGCAGTGAAGGCATCCCAAACAGTCACTTCAAGACTCAACCCTGGCTCAGTTTACCTCAGCCACTGTGATTCCTGCTTCCTTCTGCAAAAATCTCAGCAGGGAATGTTCTCTGCCACTTGCACTTGGGCTGGAGAGAGACTAGGGTCAGTCGATCAGTCTGCATGTGTGGTACCCACTGCCCAGCGTTGCTCACCTCTCTTGTATCTGCCTGACAAACTTCTATTCCAGCTTGAACACCAGCTCAAAAGTCACCTCCTCCAAACTCCTCAGCCTACTCCAGCTTGGCTGCACCAACTCTGCCTTCGTCACATGAGACAAAACCCAAGAACAAAACCACAGAAATTGGCTCACATATTCCTCTTCTCTCAGACTTTGGGCACAAAGTGCCAGCCACCTACTCCCAAGAAGCTGCTGAGGATTTTTAAAATGCAAATGCCAGGTAGGGGATAGGACTTAAGAGTTTATTCTGAGAGAGGTGGAGTAAGTGCCTTACCCCGGTCGCTAGTAAATGGCAGTCCTGGTGACACGTAGCCATTTCCCCCATTCCTCCTCCCTCTTTTCTTCTCGGCTTAGACTCACCCTAAGGTGAGGCAAATTGCTGCTGCCCCTCGGCTCCCTCTGCCACTCCATTCCTGGGAAATGGCTGCCACCACGGCTCCACACCCTACCTCTCCTCTGGGAGGGAAGGATTAGCAGGATCAATGACCTCTGGCTCCAAGAGGGTGATCACCCATCTTGAGACTTTCAGTTCTAGGGACACAAGCATGGCCTTCATCCACCTCTCATGACATCACCCGGTGTTATATGGGTTTTTCTCCTATTGTTAGACCACAACTCGGCTCCCTGGATTCTCTGACAATGCCACAATTGGCAGCATCATTGGCTCTTAGCTACTGAAAACATAACAGAGACAAGTCTTGCAACAAAAAATCAATATGATGGATAATAGGCAGGAAAAGCAGCCCCCACAGAATAAGGGAAGGCCCCAGTAAGTCTAATTTTCATTGACCCAGTTTCATTGTCAAAGCACAGAACATAGCAAGACAGAGTGACCTCCACACCCAAAAAGCTTCAGACTATTCTGCAAATGAAGCCACCACGGACCATCTCTCTCTTCCTCCACGAGCCCATGGATGTTAACCACCAATGAGTGAGTGACAAAGAGAATTCCCACCTTAGAAAGGAGCAGCTGAGTCTGCTAGTCATTTAAGACAGGTGATTTTCATACGTATAATGGGGGAAAAAAATCACTCCACCCCATTCTTATATAGGAATGTAATGGGATGGGGAAGGGGGCTCTAGGTGGTAAATGGAGCCAATCATGCTTGCATTTCACTTCCATGTATCACTGCACTGGCGGCATTAGCTCCCAGAAGCAGAAAGGAGTGTGAGGTGTGGATTGATTCTTTCTTACAGGACCACAGTCTCATGAGCAGTCAGCGCACATTGCCGAAATGTGGAAAGAATGTCGGATTGATTTCAAGAGTTTCGGGTTGACTAATACAGCCTCAAATTTCTTTATCTAGGCAGTGAGTGACGATGGCTGCACTAGCATCCTGGGGAGGAAATTAAAGCATTCGTCGAGGGCCTGACTCAGGAAAGGGTAGAGGAATGGATTATGTCAGCCACAGGAGACCAAGGTGAGAGCACGAGGGAAGGAGCAGGAAGTTCGACCCTTGAGTAGCATCCGGAAGCATGAGAAGTGGTGAAAAGCTTGAGCGATGAGTTTTTTAATATGATACTTCTGTGGAACAAAAATTGGTCTGTCTCCCCCAAACTTCAGCAAAGTCTGTTATCCACACAAAAGCTTTAGTGAGAGTTTTTTTTTTTTTCTACCTCAGAGCAAGGGGAGTTGTGAAAATGAGTAAAACGGCTGAACTCCCTCATCTGGGTCAAGGCGATGGGGAGCATGGGATGGCGCGATGTAGAAGTAAGGCCCCCTGTGAGCTGGGGAAGACATGGTCGGGAAAACCCATACCAAAGCCTTCCATAAACCTCGAGGAAGAGTCGGGTGAGGTGGCTCACGCCTGTAGGAAGCCAAGGCAGGCGGATCACCTGAGGTCAAGAGTTCGAGACCAACCTGGCCAACATGATGAAACCCTATCTCTACAAAAATACAAAAATTAGCTGGGCGTGGTGGTGGGTGCCTGTAATCCCAGCTACGAGGGAAGCTGAGACAGGGAGAATCACTTGAACCCAGAAGGCAGAGGTTGCAGTGAGCCAAGATTGTGCCACTACACTCCGGCCTGGGCAACAGAGCAAGACTCCATCTCAAAAAAAAAAAAAAAAAATCTCGAGGAAGACCTCTGATTCTCCATAATTGGAGAATCATAAGCCACAGGCCCATTTTGTTCCTAAGGGTCAGGGTAGCCCAGGTAACATCTGGGTTGTATACCTAACGTGAATTGAATTTGCATTGCAACTACATTAATACTTCTGATTTTTATACAAGGATAGAAAAGAAAAACACAGCTATTAATGTGTCCTATCTGTAGTGTTTATCAATGTACTAGCACCTTGGGAGCACCTGCAGTGTGCAGGGTTCCATTCTACAGGTGCTGCTGACCAAACTATCTAAGGTGAAGGTGCAGCTGCTGTCATTCCCAATCCATGCAGTGTGATGTGTGGCCCTACTATGAGTGACTTGTATGCAGTTTGCACCAGATGGGACTCACCACAAGAATTCAACAGCACCCAATCTGGTCTATTCCCTGTTTAATAAAAGAAAGCCCATGACACATGCTTGGATGCCATGCCAATGTCCTGTTACTAGGAACATTACTCAACTCTTATTCTCTCTTGCTGTGTTCTCATTTCAGATCTTGCTTGCTGATGGACACTGATCTGCACACCAGCATGAATAACACTGCTCTAGGGCATACAAATAAGTACAAAATCCTTGCTCTCAGGGAGCTTACAAACTTTCCATTATACTAATACCCATTGAAATATGTTCACTCTAAGACAAGGCAATCATAAAATCTACTTACAAGACAGAAATGATGAATTGCAAAGTGAATTCATAAATAACACAAATTAGGAGTTTAAGAAAGGAAGCCATTTGGAGAAACCAGAAGATTAGAAATGAAAGACAGAAAACTAGATTTCAGGTCTGTGGAGGGGAGAGACCTTGAGCTGAGTCTTGAAGGTTGTTTAAGATCAAGTTACATCTCACCACAAAAAGCATAAGTAGGTGAGATAATGCATACATTAGTTATCTCCATTTAGCCATGTGACAATATACACATATTTCAAAACAACATGTTGTACACAATAAATATATACAATTATTTATCTGTCAATTTAAAAATACTAATGGGCTGGGCGCAGTGGCTCACGCCTGTAATCCCAACACTTTGGGAGGCCGAGGCAGGCGGATCACTTGAGGTCAGGAATATCTAGAGCAGCTCGGTCAACATGGTGAAACTCCATCTCTACTAAAAATGCAAAAAAAAAAAAAAAAAAAAAAATCCAGGCATGGTCGCTGGCACCTGTAATCCCAGCTACTAGGGAGGCTGAGGCAGGAGAATCACTTGAACCTGGGAGGCGGAGGTATCAGTGAGCCCCGACTGCAACATTGCACTCCAGCTTAGGCAACGGAGTGAGACTCAAAAAAAAAAAAAAATTAATGACCCTAAAACCTTATGAAAAAAACAAAACCCAAAAAGGATCAGGATAGTTCCAGAGAAATCAGAAGCATATGAACAAAGGTCCAAACTTTCTGTGTGAACTGAAGAGAGAGTAAGCAGACCTGTTTGGCAGGGATGGAGAGCTGGTTCAGAAAAGTAATGGGAAACACAGGTTAGGGTAAGGAGGTAGAAGACATTGAACGCCAGAAATACAGAGCATAGATGTCATCCTGTACATCATAGATCACAGAGAGAAATAGGGGGACAGCATTTCATGATGACTTATTTAGCCCATACATTATCCAGTAAACACTGTGAGGCACAAGAGACTGTGTGAGATGCTGAAGGAGGTGAAGGATGCACGAAAGGGCAGGGAAGTGAGTTCGGGGGCTGTAGCCCAAGGTTGAGGAATGACCGTCGTGCCTGAACTAGGGCAGTCATGGATAAGGAAGAAATAGAACAAATCATAGAAGTGATTCCAAGAAAAAAAAGAGGAAGGGTATATTTAATGACTATTTGCATTGTAAATGAGGAAGGCCTTCTTCACACTATGCCTACCCAATTTGCCAAGCTCTCTGTGTTAGTCCAAGTTCTCTACAGGGACAGAACTAATAGGATAGATATATATATAAAGGGGAGTTTATTAAGGAGTATTAACTCACACGATCACAAGGTCCCATGATAGGCCACCTGCAAGCTGAGGAGCAAGGAAGCCAGTCCGAGTCCCAAAGCTGAAGAACTTGGAGTCCAATGTTTGATCTTCTGCCTGCTTTTTATTCTGGCCACACTGGCAGCTGATTAGATGGTGCCCACCCAGATTAAGGGTGAGTCTGGCTTTCCCAGTCCACTGACTCAAATGTTAATCTCTTTTGGCAACACCCTCACAGACACACCCAGGAACGATATTTTGCATCCTTCAATCCAATCAAGTTGACACTCAGTATTAACCATCACACTCTCCATCACCCTTCAAGATTCAGCTCAACAATCCCCCTTCTGCAAAACCTCCCTCAAGAGGGATTACTGACTTTCTCCACAGCACATCTCTTCCCAACCAACTTTGAACTTCTCACTAAAAAAAGGATGAATGAAAAGTGGAGAGAGGAGTTGCAGATGACTCTGAAGATTTCAAGAAAAGGTAACCTGGAAAATAGTAACATGCAGTGCCGTTTCTGGGCAAGGTCCCTACCAGAACCTCTTCCTGGGAATTATGCTGGCAAACAGCCTCTTGGGCCCTTATTCTTAGTAAATGCTAGTTGCCACTATAGTAAAGCATATATAAAATGCTAGGTTCACATCAAATAATAAAAATACACACCTATATACACACTTAACCTCTATTTGTATATAAATAATCCTATTGTATTTGGTCTGCTGTGATGCTTGCCCACTTCACAGTTGACATCATTGGATAAATACTAGGAAAAAGGAATAGCAAGTGCAGTAGCTAAAAAGTTTCACAATCATAGTAACTCCCCAACTCCTCCTGGGTCTGCAGCAGTCAGGAAGAAACTGTGAGGCACCATCAACTTGTAAGGTTTCCCTTACAAAGTGTATTCAGTCAAGGACACTGTGTGTGTGTGTCAAGATGCTGTAGGTGCTAAGAGGAAGAAGAAAACTAGACACATAAATCATGACAACATGGCTGCCAAAAGGTCAACTTTCTTGTAGAGCATACTTTTCTGTTGTTAGGTTTTGTTTTTTGAGAAAATAAATATTATGTGAAGGAAACAAGCAAGCAAGCATTATGTATATAGAGAAATTGATTGCTTGATTCTTAAAAATGTTTATGTGTATACCTGTGCATAGATAAATAGATGTAGGTATATAGTTATAAATAGAACCCTCATTAATAAATGTCAAGGTAATAACTAATTAGGTTTTTTAAATTAAACACTGAACTCTAACATATTAAGTTCAAATATTAAAGTTTTATATTAGCATATAGTTTGATATTAACATGAAGGGAAATTTTTGTTTCCTACAAAAAGTAGTGATTCTCCCAGGTGGAGATAGTGGAGAGGTGAACAGGGATTATCTCTCCATTCTGCAGAAGATGATTCCAGGTTCTGCAACCCAGGGATTGAGGAGGGGTGTCTTCCCCGAATACTGGGGGGATTCCAAACTCCAAGGAGGGAGAAGAGCTGGGACACTTATGTTAGAAGCCAAGAATGGAGTTCAAATAGGTTAACCCAATCAAAGGGGACAGAGGCCAGGATGGACACTGGAGGACAGGGTCAAGGTCCCAAGAATGAGCAAGGGTGAATCTGGGGCAATTGTCTGCACCAGCTATGCTGTGGCATGGCATGGCATGGTATGGCATGGCAGGGTGTGGTATGGTATAATCTGGTGTGGCATTCTCTGGTATGGCATAATGTAGTCTAGGATAGTGTCTTCTGATGTGGTGTGGTGTAGTATGGTGTGGCATCTTTTCATGGCATGGCATAGTATGGTAAGTGGAGCTGATAGGAGAACCAGAGATAGGATGGACTGTGGCTTCGAGAGCACAGCTGGGGACTGAACTAAAAGGACCAACAGGAGAGCTAACCAGAAATGTCCTGCAGCAGCCAGAGAGAGATACAGAAAGAGTTGCACTCTAGGGAAGAGCAAGCCCTGGACGTGTGGACTTGAGTCTTCCTCTGGAGGAACATGTGATGTGCCAAGCACTGTGTACAAGGATCCAGGTGCTTCACATACATTCTCTCACTAAATCCTCTCAACAACCTGCATGATAACGCACTCAAGAAAGTGAGGCTCAGAGAGCTGGAGTATTTTGTCCAAGGTCATACAGCTGACAAATGATGGAGGCATATGTGAACCCTGATTTATTTTATTCCGAACGTAGGCTTACAACACCCATTATCTCCAAGTAAGATTTCCCTGTCAGAGAGTTCTGAGCAGTGATTCTGGAAATGTAGCACAGCACAGAAGAAGAAAATGAGTACACACCCCTCAGACGACACAGTACGACGTTTTGCAGGCCAGAGATCGGGGGGACAGGGAATGCATATAGTTTGATACCACAGCCATTGTTCCAATGTGTTTTTAAATCCATATTTACTTGATTTTTTATTAGAGGCATGGGTTTTTAAAAGCTTGAGGAACACTAGTGTAAAGAGAGAAGAATGAGGTCAAATGCTTTGGCAACATCTTCATACAAGAGATAAGCTGATAAAGAGAAAACAAGTGAAGGTCGCGGCAGCAGGTGTGGAGAGAAGTTATCACTAAGCTCATGGGCCTTGGAAACTGAGTGATCATGGTGACCCTCAAGAAGACTATCGGGAGCAGGCGGCAGAGTCCAAAGGGCGGCCACAGCAGCATGGCTGGACCGACCACCACACTGGCCCAGAACTCTGCAGGCCTCAGCAGTGCTGGGATTGGGAAAAGACATCAAGCCCAAAATTCACCTGTAGATGCCAACAGAGGGACTCCATCACCAGAGATGAAACGAAGCCCATGGATAATGGCACCGTGCAGAAGGAAGAGGCCAAGAGGGTCAGCAGAGCCAGAAAACAGAGGGGGCCTCACAGCAGATAAGAGGATGCACAATCACACATATATTCACACTCACACACACACATGCTCGTACTCACAGTCATATTTGCACTCATCCATCACATTCACATGCTCGCACATGCTCACTTCCACTCTCACACTCATGCTCACTCACGCACACTCACGTTCACACGCACACACGCATATTCACACTCTCGTGCACTCACACTCATGCACACTCCCATTCATACACAGTTTTGCGAGTGTACTTCTGGAGTGCTTTGCTGGCAGCTCTAGGAAGGAAAGAGAGACGCTCCAATTAGGTCTGGAGAAGAACGAGGGGGCATGGCGAGAGGGCCCAGCGGGCCGCCACTCCATTCCAGAAAGGAGTGCCCCTGCTTTCCCTGGGGCTCCCTGCACCAGCTGGTATGTGGCGTGGCATGGCACGGTATGGTGTGGCAGGGTGTGGTATGGTATAGTCTAGTGTGGCATGCGCTGGTATGGCATAGTCTAGGGTAGTGTGGCCTGATGTCGTTCGGCGTAGTATGGTGTGGCATTGTTCATGGCATGGCATAGTATGTTGCTGTTGGGTTTTGTTTTTTGAGAAAATAAATATTATGTGAAGGAAACAAGAAAACAAGCATGATGTATATAGAGAAATTGATTCCTTGATTCTTAAAAATGTTTATGTGTATACCTGTGTATAGATAAATAGATATAGGTATATAGTTATAAATAGAACCCTCATTAATAAATGTCAAGGTAAAAACTGATTAGGTTTTTTAAATTAAACACTGAACTGTAACATATTAAGTTTAAAGTTTTATATTAGTATATAGTTTGATATTAACATAAAGGGAAATTTTTGTTTCCTACAAAAAGTAGTGATTCTCCCAGGTGAAGATAGTGGAGAGAGATGCTTGCATAGAGAGACGCTCTGATTAAGTCCAGAGAAGAACGAGGAGGCGTGGCGAGAGGGCCCAGCAAGCTGCAGTTCCGTCCCAGAAAGGAGTGCCGCTACTTTTCTCTGGGACTCCCTGCACCAGCTGTGACATGGTGAAGGCACAGGATAAGTGCCTTCACCCGCCAGCCTGCTGCCAGGACCCTGGAAGCCTGTCCCGTCGTCCACCCTTTGTTGTATATCAGGAAGTCTGGAAGAGAGGGTTCCTGCTTACCGAGGAAGTTCCTCTTTACAGGGTGAGCTGTGGTTCACTGAATTAGGGGTGAGTGTCTCTCTCTGCCTGACCTGCGCTGCTGCTGCCCCAGAACTTAGGGAAAGTTCTACTTCATGCAACTAGAGAAAGGCACTGAAGCCCCACATTTTCCAGACTCAGGTGTGGAAAAATCCTTTCCTACTTGGCCTGGTGGACACATGACAGTTGGTTTCTAAATTTGACTTGAGTTTCTGCTGCACCCCACCCAGAGCCCAGTGCTCACTGCCTGCAAACCTTCCTGCCCCACTCCCTGCCTTGGCAAATGAGCTCCCCTTGGGCCAGACCCTACATCAAAGCGCTCTCCTGAGCCACTCTAGAGAGATTCCACAGTGAAAGGGTAGAAAGGCAGCCCCAAGCATTGCATTATCATGTTCACTTGGCCCTAAGAGGCTGGCTTCAACCGCGTCTCTACACAACTTCGCATCTCCTGGATGATCCCCTTCTGAAGGACTTTGGAAACCACTAGAAGCAGGGGTGGCATGGCATAGCAAGGCATAGTGTGTTGTGCCATAGCATGGCATGACGCACTGTGCCATGGTATAGTGAGTGAAGCCAATAGGCATGAGAACGAGAGATAGGATAGATAGTGGCATCATCAGAGAGAGGGTGGTTGGGGACCAGGCTAGAAGAGGCCAACAGAAGAGCTAACCGGAAATGTCCTACAAGCAGCCAGAGAGAGATCCAGGAAGACTTGCACCTGGGGGAAGAGTAAGCTGGACACCTGGACTTGAGTCTTCCTCTGCAGGGTTAAGTAATGTCCTAATAGCAGGAGGGCCATGTGCCAAGCCCTGTGTACAAGGTTCTAAGGGTCCAAGCCGGGTGCTTTACATACATTCTTTCACTAAATCAGCCCAACAACCCTGTATGATGGCACACAAGACAGCGAGGCTCAGAGAGCTGAAAAAAGTTTGTCCAAGGTCACACAGCTGATAAATGATGAGAGAATATGTGAACCCAGGTGTGCCCAAGTCCTCTCATCTGCTTTTCTGATGGGTGGAGGGGGAGCCTATTGATTTTCAGAAGATCCTGTACCTGAATCTAGGGAGAATAATAGAATGATTCTAATAATTGCAACTCACCTGCATCAGTTAAATAATAATGTTTGGTGGTGGGTAATAGAAACCCCAAATAGTGGCTTACATAAAACAGGGATTCACAGAGCCACTAGGTGACCTATGCCAGGAAGGGCCATTCACAACTGTGCTCCAGGCTGAGCCATTGGAGAGGCCAGCAGCCCTGGGGACTTGTTTTTTCCCCTCATGTGAAGAGAATTCAGAGGAGGCCAGAGCTGGTGTGACAGTTCCCCAAGGTCATGAGGAACCCAGTTTCTGTCTGGATCACCACTCTACCATCTTCATGTTCATGCTTACAAGGTGGCTGCTGGTACTCCAGCCATCACATCCCTGTTCTAGACAGGAATAAGGAGAAATGGCAACAAGCAAATGGAACGGACTGCCTGAGCTCTCTGTAAACTTTCCTGAAACCTGGAAGTCCACCTAGTCATCTCTGTTCCTACCTCCCTGGCCAGAACTGTATTGCATCATCATTCTTACCTGGAATGCGAGGATGAAAGGTATAGCTTTTTAAGCTGGACATATTCCTAAACCCAAATAAAATTAGGGCTCTGCTAGCAGTGAGCAGAGAATGGATGTCGGAGCTCCATTTAGCAAGACTTGCCACCTCATTTTCGTCATCCAGTTATGCCTGGGTGCTCCACTACACTCACAGATGTCAGCCCTGGGCATGGAAAACCCAGCCCCTGAGCAAAGAATTGCATAGTTAAATGCAACAAACATTCACATAGAATATGGATTTGAGGCCAGAGAATGAAGACAATGCATTCTAGACCACGTATGTCCTCACCGAGGGACTGGGTTGTGGGAAGTGTAAGAATCATTGTCTTATTGTGCTATCACAAGACAGGACCACTTCCCAAATTTGAGGAATTTGGGCCTTGTGTCCATTGGTATGTCCAGCTTAATGGAGTTAGTTCCTAAGGTAGTATTCTTTAAGGGGGCGTTGTCTATCTGCTGTGCATAGCCTGTACTCCAGGATTGTGGCAGAAACTGTCCCCTGGGAATAGCCTGACCAGACATCCATCCTTAACAATACCAGGAAGGGTTCTGAAATGGGGCTGAATTGTGTCCCTCCAAATTCATAGACTGAAGTCCTAACTAACCTCCAATTTCCCAGAATGTGACTGTATTTGCAGAGAGGGTCTTCAAAGAGGTAGTTAAACTAAAATGAAGTCATTAAAATGGGCCCTGATCCAATACGGCTGGTGTCCTTACAAGAAGAGGAGATGAGGACACAGATGCACACAGAGGGAAGACGAGTGAAAACACAGGGAGAAGATGGCAACTACAAGCCAAGGAGCGAGGCCTCAGGAGAAACCAGCCCTGCCCTCCTCTTGATCTCAGACTTCTAGCCTCCAGCACTGTGAGAAAATAAATCTCTGTTGTTCAAGCACCCAGTCTGTGGTACTTTGTTATGACAACCATAGCAAATTAATACAGGTTCTTTGGCAAAATAATTCACTAAGCATGACTGAACCTATGCGTGTACAGTTGTGTAGAGTTAACCGAGCATAATTCTTCACATACGGAGCTACACTTTCTGCACACTGGAATTCTGTTACTGTCAATTCCTCCTCACCAGGAAAGTGGACCTGGCTGGGGTCAACGTCTCTTCGTTTGACTTGGATACATCGATCCTTTCCATCTGTCTCATGCTTCTTTGGATTTTTAATACCAGTCACATAGAAAGCTTCATCCCATTGTCTGCCAGTCTTCAAAGCTCTGTTTGTCAGTGCAGCGTTTCCATCAGCTACAATTCTAGACTCTGGGTAAAGCAAGCCCCCATGTGCTGTTGAAATGCACAATGCTTTTCCTTCCCTCCAGCTGCCCGCTCCTCAGTGTTCGGGCAGCAGCTGCTCGTTAGCTGGGAAATGGCTTCTCTCTCTATTCATGCTCTTGGCTTTGTGGCTGTGAGCCTGGAGCTCTGATCTGGCCTCTGATTCTGCAGCAGGAGGGGAAATATATGACCCCCGCATTTTGGTGGGAAGAAAGCAACTTCCTGTTTGGATACAGTCCCCCACAACAAAACACCTTTCTAGCTTCCCCCCAGGCTTCCTTGTTTCCACGGTGCTTCTCATTTGACGACAGCACACACCACCTCCCTTCCACGCCCTAATTTTGGTATGTAACTATTTTATACCCACTCTGGGTAGGTTACAGGAGCTTTGCCTACCCTTCCTTGCTAGCTGTCTTTGAATCAAAATATTCACCCAAGGAGAGAAAGAGAATTCCATGAAAGAGGGCCAGAAGGGGGTATTCTGCAGCTGAGTGAAGCCCAGGCTCTCCCCGGCTCCTTGCTTAGGACAGAAACTGCCCCCGCAGCTGATACCCCATCCACCATGGAGCCTAGACCTCTGGCTCATCATTTACGGGGGAAATCAGTTCAATAATTTGACTAAAATTAGCAGAGAGAGTAAATTATAAAGGTAACAAAGGTACTCTGAAATAACAGAAAACAGACTGAAACTAACAATTACAGATAAAAGCTAGAAAGTTTTGAAAAATAACTAACTAAATGTTCGCTAAAGGATCACATTAAAAGAGTAGAACAGGATGACGTCATTCTTTTAGGTACCATGTTTGCTAACAGAGTGCAATGGCCAGGCATGGTGGCCCACACTTGGAATCCCAGCACTTTGGGAGGCTGAGGCAGGAGTTCAAGACCAGTCTGCACAACATGGCAAGACTCTGTGTCTACAAAATAAAATTAGCCAAGCACGGTGCTGCACAGCTGCAGTCCCAGCTACTCCAGAGGCTGAGTTGGGAGGATCACTTGAGGCCAGGAGTTTGAGGCTACAGTGAGCCATGATTGCACCACTGCACTCCAGCCTGGGCGACAGAGTGAGACCCTGTCACACCAGAAATTTTTTTTTGTAATAATAAAGAAAATGCATAGCCGGACCTTGTGGCTCACGCCTGTAATCCCAGCACTTTGGGAGGCCGAGGCGGGCAGAACACGAGGTCAGGAGATTGAGACCATCCTGGCCAACATGGTGAAACCCCATCTCTACTAAAATTTAAAAAATTAGCCAGACGTAATGGTGCATGCCTGTAGCCCCAGCTACTTGGGAGGCTGAGGCAGGGGAATCACTTGAAGCCGGGAGGCGGAGGGTTGCAGTGAGCCGAGATGGCACCGCTGCACTCCAGCCTGGTGAAAGAACATGATGCCGTCAAAAAAAAAAAAAAAAAGAATGCACTCACAGAGGATAAAGTGGAAATAAGAGCCATAAGAGCCATGGGAGCCTTGGGCCAGTGATGAAGCTCATCAGCAAGGCCCTGAGGCTCTGCTTCCCTGGAGGCAGGGGCTGAGGCCCCAGGACAAGTTCTGTGAGGGCAGAAGGCATCCACGCCAGGCACATCTGCCCTGGAGGCTGAGAAGTCTGAGATGAATGAGCCCCTTAGCTATTCCAGATGATTTCCCTGCGGCCCAGCTAGCATGTAAATCCAGCACCCAGTTGGCAGGCAGGATAATTCCTCAAACAGAGAGGCCACCTGCCAGAATGGGGCTGAGTGTTCCGAGTAGCTAACCAAGGAGAATAGAAAATCTGCCAATGAGGCCGTTTCTAAACACACAACTGTCTCGAGGAAGGGGAAAGAAGGGACTGTAGTTCAGTCATGGAGAAGGATGTATAAAAAGGCTCTGGACAGGGCTTTATTCCCAGCTCTGCTCCTAACCAGCTGCGTATTTACTCTGCATTGTGGTGTCCTTGTAAGTACATGAAGAGAGGAGCCTGCAGGAGCTGTGAGGTCACTTCCAGCTCCTGCATAGTAGACCAGCTCCACTCATTCTCCTCAGTCTGGTTTGAGGAGGTGCAGTTGCCGCCTTTGTCCACCCCACCTGTGCACAAAGCAGACCTTGCATCCTGCCTGGGGCCAGGGTCCAACCCAGAGTCAGCAGGGGCCCTGGGGAGTGAGCGCCATGCCCAGGCACCCCAGCCTGTCTGCCCAGCAGGGCGGGCTCACCACAAGCTGTCAGCACCAAGGAGCGAGGCCCAAGCACTGAGGTCAGATGCCCCGAGGATGCAGGCAGAAATGTCCAACCTGGGCAGACAAAGCGGAGTCTAACCTGGGTGGGATTCAGGAGGGAGCCTGCCAGGACCTTCAGCCGTGAGTAGGATGAGCTGGAGACTTGGAAGCTACAAGCAAAGCTGAGCAATGGGACAGGCAGGGACCAGGTGAGGAGCAAGGCTACAGGTAACGGAGGACAGGCACAGGTGGCCGGGACTACCGCTGAAAGCTCCAGTAGGGGCTCCACACCCCAACTTGGGTGTATCTGGACATGCCAGACACTGGGCAGTGCCACCCAGCTCTCCCTCTGAAGCAGGACTCCTTGCCCAGGTGTGGGGCATGTGGTCATTAGGCAGCCTCCTCTTGCCAGCTCCTACAGGGTCTGCCTCAGCTGCACCTCTCCCAGAGGAGCCCTTGTCCTGAGACTGAAGGAGCACAAAGGCTAGCTTCGAGGCCCTTAGAGGACGGGGTCACAGTTTGGCTTCTCCCTCTGCCCAGTGCTGCTTCCTCCCCAAATTCCATCTCAGGGCCTGCTTCTAGAAAACCCAATCTGCAGCTCTGAATGGCTCCGCTAGCACCCACGGTGTCCAGCTTGAAGACTCTGCCTCGTGGGGCCTCTTCAAATGGAGGTCACAGTGCTGTGCTGCAGTCCGCCGACACTGACCTTCCAGAGTCAACTGCATGCATCTCTTCCCAACTCTGTGTGCAGTGATGGAGAGTGGTAGCTTGAAATCAGCCATGGTGGCGGTATTTGCACCATGGGAGTTAACAAACACCACAAATCAGAGCTTTTTTTCTCCTGGAGATCTGGTTGTTAAACACCTACCAGCACACAACTGTTTCTGGAGCATAGTAGGATTAGACCATTTCTTGAGACCCACTTTGCTCTATGTCACATTGTTCAGAGAGGAGAAGTTAGGGAAGAGGAGGGAAAATCAGGAGAAATGTGGAATGAAATTGCAAACAGATTATTTCAAGAGCAGACATTCGGCAGGGTTGGGGAGTGGGTGTGTCTCAGACGCCCTGTTCTTAGGGAGGACGCAGCTGAGCTGGCAGCAGCAGCATATGAAAATCCCAAACCTGGCATTCCACATCACCTGGAGGAAGCTGGCTGGGCAAGAGTGTCTCTCTAATGCAGGGAATTGAAGACTTCCCCACTCATCCCAAAGGTGGTTTGTGGGATCATTTCTTAGTAGTGTACAAGGGAGCCACCACCACCATGCTAAACTCCACCATTTCTGCTGTCCTGGTGAATTACTTCTGGTCTCCTCATCCTGCTAGTAAGGTGAACACAGTCTCTCCTCATTTTTCCAGCCCCCAACAATTGCTAGGGTCACAGAACAGGCACCTTCACATCCTTCCCATAAGCCTAAGAAAGTGGGGTCCCTGACTTGGCATTGCACTTTGAAAATGTCACCCGTAACGCAAGAGGGAAGCTGTGGAAAGTATTGAATACAATCTTTAGAAAGCAAAGCCTTTTTAGTGAGGAATGCACATTTATTTGACAGTGTTCAGTGTTCAGTGCCCACTGCAAGGCATTTTGCTAACTGTCATATTCTATGAAGAGTGGTGAAAGCAACCCCCTAAAGAAGTCTAACTGGGATGGGTCCCGGCATAGAAGACAATAAAGCTCTGGGCCCTGGAGAAGGTGTAGAATATATTAGCTGTCCATTAGGTAAGTATGGAGAGAAATTTTCCATTAGGCTATTACGTTTGCCTCAGAAAGAATGGCTCATAGGAATGCAATTCACCCATTTTCTAACAGCATTCCAATATGGCTCATAGTGGAAACATAATAGACATTTGTTAAGTGAATAAATGACCCAATCTTGACTTTCAGATTACCACGGATGATTAATTCTGCCTTGGGATATGCAGATTGAATAGACACTTAAAAGATCACCAGGGATCATATGTATGAGCTGAGAGCACGCATATTGACTTAAAGAATGTATATGTTAAGAAAAACAAGAAGCTTGCCAGGAAGCCAAATCAAAACTGGAAAAAAAGATGTTCCTGTCATCTGCATAGCTTAAAAGTGACAGAAGTCAGAGTGCACTTATTCTCTTTTCAATTATTTTCCTTGATAACCAGAGGAACAAGTAATATAAACCTCCTTGAAAATGGGAAGAGGCAGGTTTTAAAATTGAGGTCTCCCCCAATGATGTGTTTTTATATAAAGACCGAAATATCAGGGTCCTTGCTTTGAAAACCCCAAGCACCCAAAAGAACTCTTTCTTAAGGATTGAGTGGCAGGCTGTAGAAAACCAAAGGGAAGTTATGATGGGGGCAGCTGTGTGAAGATGAGGGCGTCGTCAGTACGTGTGGCATGTTTTCTTTGAAGAGTTCTAACCTCTCCAGAAGTGTGTCCTCTTCCTTTTTTGGGAGATGGATGAGGGGCAGAGAACTTTCCTGTGCATTGAGAATCCTTCCCAGCCTCCAGTGAGAGGTGAGTCTGGCGCCCTTGTCCCCAGGTGGACCTGGCTGCCCACTTTGGGTCTTGCCACATGAAGAAAGCCGTTCTGCCTGGCAGAGTTGCAGCAAGCCTGATGTTTAACCCCGAAAGCAGAAACTTCTTTGCCCTAGCCACATTCTTTTTGAACTCCATAATAGGGGAGGAAGCTAAGGAGAATCATGCATCAAGAGAAAAAATGTTCATATTCCCACTGGAAAGGAAGGTGGGTCAATTTGAAAATACGGTATAACAGCAAGTGGTACAGAAGCCCAGCCTGGAAAACAGTGCTGTGATGCCCAGGAAATGATAAAACCACCCCGGCGCTCCCTGGGGTCAGGCCAAGGTCTGCAGTCATAACCACCTGCTCTCCTTCCATTCCCTCCAGCCTCACGGCATGTGGTTGGTGTCGATGGCCCAAATACAAAGGTTATGTATATATCAGAGCCCTCAGACTGAGAAAGAAAAATTGTTCCAAGAAATCAAGTATTTTATCTACATGGAGAAAACCAGAGCCCTGAGAGTAGTTAACCCAGGAGCTTCCAGAGTCCCCCAGAGTGGAAGCCCAACCTCCTTGGGCTCTGAGATCCATTGTTATGAGCCCAAAGGGCAGCCCAGAGGTTGAGGGGTGACAAGGAGGGAGGAGAGGGCCGGCAGACCTGAAGCTCCCCTACCTGTAAGTGTGAGTCCCCTCCATGTCATCATCTTGAGGCCGTGCTTCCAAAGATGGTGCTTATCCTAGACATTAAGGAAAAGGGGGCTAACAGAATAAAAACACTTGGGTAAAATAATATCCACAAGGTAGGAAATTTGGAGAAGATTTTTGAAAGGTTAGGGAAGAAAAACTTTTGAAAGGACTAAAATATTTAAATATAATTATTATTTTAAAAGAGTTTGGAATAATGCGATAATAATAGATACGTAAAAGATTAGATGTCTATGAGATTTAAAAGTTAAAAATACAAAGGTTAGCACTGAAAGCCAAAAACCGTGAAGACGGTAAGTTTACAATGTAAAAGCAGAAGGTATTGAGGATAAAGAACAAGGATAAAAACACAAAAGCTATACAAGTAAAGAGGGTTTCTGAGAAATGTTTTTTGAGCAAAATAAAAGCAAAAATCTTGACAATTAGAGAGGTGGTAGAGAGGTAAAATGAAAACATAAGGGGAACTGTTCAAGCATAAGTCAAGGTAATAAGATAAGCTGTTACTTTAGCAAGGTAACAAGTTAATACGTATATAACACATGTCAAAAGCAACAAGTGTTCCCTTGCCAATTTCTATTATGATTTCCTCTTTAACCCAAAAACTATTTTGGGGAATTGGTTTTATGGTTTTCAGATATATAGATTTATCTCTTGTCATATACTCTTTTTTTAACTGTGGATTTCTAATTTAACTGCATTATAGTCAGAAGATGTGATTGTTTTATCAAGAGGGTCAATTTTTATAAATATCCAAAGTGTGTTTGAAAATAATGCATAATCACTTTGTTAGGTGCAGAGTTCTCCATTTATCTAATTTGACCAACTTTTTAATTATGCTATTGAAATCCTTTATATCCTTATGTTTTTACCAGCTTAATCTATTTCCTTATAAATATTCCTTGTAATTCTCTTGGTTTTGCTTTATAAATACTGAGGTTATCCTAAGAACATACAAATCTGTTACTTCTTGCAGGATTGTTCTTTTCTTATTGCAAATGTTCTTTCTTTTTTTTTTCTTTTTTTTTTTTTTTTTGAGAGGGAGTCTCCTCTATCGCCCAGGCTGGAGTGCAGAGGCGCGATCTCAGCTCACTGCAGCTTCTGCCTCCCAGGTTCAAGTCATGTTCCTTCGTCAGCCTCCTGAGTAGCTGGGACTACAGTTGCACAACACCATGCCCAGCTAATTTTTGTATTTTTTGTAGAGATGGCTTTTTGCCATGTTAGCCGGGCTGGTCTTGAACTCCTAACCTCAAGTGATCCGCCCGCCTGGGCCTCCCAAAGTGCTGGGATTACAGACATGAGCCACCGCACCCAGCCATAAATGTTCCCCTTTATCCCTATTTATAAAATTTTGACCTAAAATTTATTTGATCTGCTATTAAATTTGCTATGTCAGTTTTCTTTTTATTAGTGTTTGTCTGATTTAGCTTTTTTTCATTTAATTTTTAGCTATTCTATGTCATTTCTTAACTATGTCTCCTATACATAGCACAAAGCTGAATTTCAGTTTTAAAACTCAAATCTAGGCTGGGCACAGTGGCTCACACCTATAATCCCAGCACTTTGGGAGGCCGAGGCAGGAGGATCACTTGAGCCCAGGAGTTCGAGACCAGTCTGGGCAACATGGCAAAACCTGATCTCTACAAAAAATACAGAAAGTTAGCCAAACATGGTGGCATTCACCTGTGGTCCCAGCTTCTTGGGAGGCTGAGGTGGGAGGATTGCTTAAGGGAAGTTGAGGCTGCAGTGAGATCGTGCCACTGTACTCCAGCCTGCATGACACAGCAAGACCCTGTCTCAATAAATAAATAAATAAAAATAAAAATAAAATCTGAACATCTATGTCATTTAAAAGGCCTTCATCTGCATCTATTGAGGACTGTAGCTTGAAAAAATAAAAAGAAGAAGTAAAAAGGCTTCAACAATTTACATTTATTCTAACTACTGACTTATTTGGGGACATTTCTACCATCTTATTCCTGTGGTTTTGGCTTTGGTTTTTCCTTTTTCTTCTTCTTTTATCCTTTCCTAACTTCTCAAACTTTGATAATGTTTTCTTTATTTCTTAACTTTTGCTGCTTTGGAAGGATATATTGTGGTCTGTTCTTTAAGTTTTACTCCTTGATTTTTAGCAATCATAATTAACCATAAATATTTATAAGAAAGTTAAATTTATTCAGCGTTTTTATTCTCCTCTCAAGACAAGAATCTCAGCATGTTTCAACTACTCACTGAACATCCTCTTCCTTGTGAATGCTGTCTAAATGTTGAACATTTCTTTTTTTAATGTACACACAAAAAGTAGGCTTTTTTCTCATTGATTATCTTTGTAAAATATATATTACCAAGTACTTTATTTGTGTGCATCATTGCTTCTTAGATCCTGTACTTTCTCTCTTGGTTCACTTTTTGTCTCATGGAATTTCATGTCTATTAGTTCTTTCTGTGAGAAACTGTAAGTGGTAAACTCATTTAATCTTTGTTTGTCTGACAATTTATTTTGCCTTAATTTGTAAATAATAGTTTTGCTGGGTATAAAATTTTAGGTTGTCCATTTTTTCCAACAGCACTTTGAAGATATTACTTCATTGTCTCCTCAAATCTATCATTGTTAAAATGTCTGATGTCATACTAATTATCATCTTGTATAGATTTACTGTTTTTTTTCCAGTACTCGTTAATATTTTATCCTTATTCTTGATATCCAATGTTTTGTTACACTGGCATTGCGTATGCACAAGTCATTTATGTGTGGATTTATTTTTACTGATTCAGTGTACACTTTTAACCTAAGAGCCAATGGCTTTTTTCAACTCTTAAAAATTCTCATCAATATACAAATGCTCTTCAACTTACAGTGGGGTTATGTCCCAATAAAGTTTCAGAATGAGTTTGTTGAGATATAACCCCATTGTAAATTAAGGAGCATATTGCTTTTACCCCATCATAATGTAAAAAAAATTCATAAGTTGAAATATCGTAAGTCAAGGATTATCTGTATCTTCAAATATGACAATCCACCATTGAATCAATTATCGACTTTTTCTAGAACTCTCATTATATGATTATTAGAGTTTTTTGAACTCCCTTCTGTGACTCTTCACTTCTCTTTCATATTTTTTGTTACTTTTTCACTCTGTAGTACTTTCTGGTGATATTTCCAGCTCATCAATTTTCTCTTCAATTGTGTTTGGTCTAGAGTTCCCATTCAATTTGATCTATTGAATTTTTAGATTTCATTTATCATTGTTCTTATTTCTAGGATTTCAAGTTGATTCTTTTCCATATTCACCTAGTGATATTTTATTTCTGCCTTTTTAAAATTACTTTTTATTCATCTTTTAAATAAGTTTTTCTTTCCTTGATATCTTTGACCATCCAAAGAAGTAATGGCTCAATACAATAGCAGCTATTTTTGATGATGTAGCAGCCCTAGGCAGGTGAACAGCTGTCCTCAGAAGAGTCATTGAGGCCAAGATGGACAGATCACCTGAGGTCAGGAGTTTGAGACCAGCCTGGCCAATACGGTGAAACCCCATCCCTACTAAAAAAATACAAAAATTAGTGAGGCATGGTGCCATCCACCTGTAGTCCCAGCTACTCAGGAGGCTGAGGCAGGAGAATCGCTTGAACCTGGGAGGCAGAGGTTGCAGTGAGCCGCGATTGTACCACTGCACTCCAGCCTGAGCAACACAGTGAGACTCTATCTCAAAAACAAAACAAAACATTTGTCAATTTTGGCTTTTGTTGCCATTGCTTTTGGTGTTTTAGACATGAAGTCCTTGCCCACGCCTATGTCCTGAATGGTAACGCCTAGGTTTTCTTCTAGGGTTTTTATGGTTTTAGGTCTAACGTTTAAGTCTTTAATCCATCTTGAATTAATTTTTGTATAAGGTGTAAGGAAGGGATCCAGTTTCAGCTTTCTACATATGGCTAGCCAGTTTTCCCAGCACCATTTATTAATAGGGAATCCTTTCCCCATTGCTTGTTTTTCTCAGGTTTGTCAAAGATCAGATAGTTGTAGATATGCAGCGTTATTTCTGAGGGCTCTGTTCTGTTCCAGTGATCTATATCTCTGTTTTGGGATCTAATTAAACTCAAGAGCTTCTGCACAGCAAAAGAAACTACTATCAGAGTGAACAGGCAACCTACAAAATGGGAGAAAATTTTCGCAACCTACTCATCTGACAAAAGGCTAATAATATCCAGAATCTACAATGAACTCAAACAAATTTACAAGAAAAAAACAAACAACCCCATCAAAAAGTGGGCGAAGGATATGAACAGACACTTCTCAAAAGAAGACATTTATGCAGCCAAAAAACACATGAAAAAATGCTCACCATCACTGGCCATCAGAGAAATGCAAATCAAAACCACAATGAGATACCATCTCACACCAGTTAGAATGGCGATCATTAAAAAGTCAGGAAACAACAGGTGCTGGAGAGGATGTGGAGAAATAGGAACACTTTTACACTGTTGGTGGGACTGTAAACTAGTTCAACCATTGTGGAAGTCAGTGTGGCGATTCCTCAGGGATCTAGAACTAGAAATACCATTTGACCCAGCCATCCCATTACTGGGTATGTACCCAAAGGACTATAAATCATGCTGCTATAAAGACACATGCACACGTATGTTTATTGTGGCACTGTTCACAATAGCAAAGACTTGGAACCAACCCAAATGTCCAACAATGATAGACTGGATTAAGAAAATATGACACATATACACCATGGAATACTATGCAGCCATAAAAAATGATGAGTTCATGTCCTTTGTAGGGACATGGATGAAATTGGAAATCATCATTCTCAGTAAACTATCGCAAGAACAAAAAACCAAACACCGCATATTCTCACTCATAGGTGGGAACTGAACAATGAGAACACATGGACACAGGAAGGGGAACATCACACCCTGGGGACTGTTGTGGGGTGGGGGGAGAGGGGAGGGATAGCTTTAGGAGATATACCTAATGCTAAATGATGAGTTAATGGGTGCAGCACACCAGCATGGCACATGTATACATATATAACTAACCTGCACATTGTGCACATGTACCCTAAAACTTAAAGTGTAATAATAATACTAAAATAAAATTAAATTAAATAAAATTAAAAATAATGAAAAAAAAAACCCAAAACAAAAAACAGTTTTAGTTTATAGGCTCCTACTGAGTGGAAATCTCTCTCTCTCTCTTTCTCTCCCCCCTTCTTCTCTCTTTCTCTCCCCCTCCCTCCTCTCACCTCTCTCCTCTCCTTCTTCCTCTTTCCTCTCCTCTTTCTCCACTTACCCCACCCTGCCTAGCAGTTTGCTGGTCACCTCCACCTGCCCCTCTCTCAGATCTCCCAGTCTTGAACCAAAACTTATATTGATGGCTTAGAAATTCCATGTTGTGGTGAGTGAGATACCTCACATTCTGCCTTTGACGCAGCAGGCAGCTTGGCTCAAGTCCTAGCTATACGGCTGGATCTCCTTTCTCCAGCCCTCCCTGGGTAGTTGCATAAGCCAGAGGCCCTGAAACAGAATATGCAGCCAGCAGTAACTTTTTCCAGCCTCCTTTGCAGGGAGAGCCCAATCCCATTGCCTAGGTGCATGAATGAGCCTGGCCCAGGACCACTGCCCCATGTGAAGTACATTTAGTGGCCATGACTTTGCAGCATATAAACTCTCATCCACTGTGCCTGTTTCAGGACCTAAATCCAAAAGTCCTGTGACAGCACATCCCCCTGGCTTGTGCTTCTGTTACACTTCTGGTCCGTAGAAATTTTGTCTTGATTTTTAATGTGGCTATGATCTGTTGTCTTCTCTTTATATGTTATCTATCACTGATATGTGATTTTTTTTTGAAGATTTATGGTGGGAATAATGAACTTACAACACCATCTGGATCCTGGTGAAACACAAAACCAAGACTCATTGTTGGGAGGGGTAGAAAAAGTAGATGGAAATTAACTGAAACTGGCAAGAAGTGAGAGGGACCAGTGGCCCTCCCTGTCAGCTGTTCTCTGTCATTCAATGCCCTGCATCCATAGAGAAGAGATACAGGTAGCATGGTGCCTTCACCCATAAATCAAAGGCTCCTCCGCAACTCATAGATGTCTCCGTGTAAGGGCAGGGAGTAGAGTCTTTATACAAAGATCCCTGGGTCCCAGGAGAAAATAAGTTGTAGTTATTCTCACTCCTATAAACTTCCTTGACAATCAACATGCTGTATAAAGTAGCAGCATAGCACAGTGTGGTGGTAGAGGGCATGAGTATTGGGGCCAGAGAACCTAGGTTCAAGCCTCGTCTCTGCCACTTTGACCTGCAAGACCTTGGGCAGGTTGGTGAACCTCTCTGAGCCTCAGCTCTCTCATCTGCAAAATGAGGGTAATAATAGTGTCTTCCTAAAAGTTGTATTTGTTTTAAATGAACAAGTATGTATAAAGTACCTGGTCGATAGCAGGTGCTACGTAAATATTTGTTAAATTAAAACATACACATAAAGCTGAGCACGGTGGCTCATGCCTGTAATCCCAGTACTTTGGGAGGCCAAGGCAGGCAGATTGCTTGAGCCCAGGAGTCCGAGACGAGCCTGGACAACATGGCGAATCCCTGTCTTTCCAAAAAAATACAGAAATTAGCCGGGTGTGGTGGTGCGTGCCTGTAGTCCAGCTACTTGGGAGGCTGAGATGCGATAATCACCTGAGCCTGGGGAGGTTGAGTCTGCGGTGAGCCATGATCATGCCACTGCACTCCAGCCTAGGTAACAGAGCGAGACTCTGCCCTTAAATAAATTAAATTAAATTAAATTAAATTAAATTAAATTAAATTAAATTAAAATACACACTTAAGATGCAGCACTTCACACCACTACTTGGCCATCCCATCCACTGTCAGGGCCTCCCCATCACTGATGACTAATTCAAATCTCTGTCTCCAGCCTAGGCTCTCTCCAGACCCATAGCTGTTTATTCCCAGTGACGGCCTATGGGTCATCTCTACTGGGATATCGCACTGACTCCTTAAACACAGTAAGCCCAAAACTAAACCACCTTGTCCTGTGTTCCCTCCTCAGTGTCAGCAGCACCTTCCACACTGAAAGAGACTCGGAGTCCTCCTCAATCCTGCATTCCATGTCACTCCCCACTCCGCCTCCTTCTCTCCAATATGCAAACCGCCTCCTTCTAATACACCCAAACTTCACTAGTCTTCCTCCTTCACACTCATCCTCTGCTCTCCACCCTCCTATTACTCACTGTTAGGTCCTGGCCTTCTGTAAGTGTCACATGAACTGTGGTTTTGTATCCGGTCTCTGGGTCTCTAATTCTGCCATTCCTCCGCCATCCCTCCACCCTGCTGTCAAGAGCAGTGTTGTATTACAAGCCTGATTACCTCTCTCTTCTTAAAACCCTTCAGTTGCCCTCAGAGCAAAGCCCAACCTCAGGATTCTGTGATCTGGACCCTCTTGCCTGGCAGATGTGCCCTCCCTCTGTGGCAGCCACACTTGGACCCCAGATGCTTCTTCTCCCTGGAATGCCCTTCTCCACTCACTCTTGATGTACCTGGTGAAAACCTGTGGCACTTCCAAGACCCAAATCAAGGGTCACCGCCTTTTAAAAACTTTCTTGACTTTGTTTTGTTTTTGGCTCCATTCTGCCCTGTACAGACTTTTATCATAGACTTTATTTAACTTATTTGTTCACACAACCCGACTCTGAGCTCCTGGGAGGCACAGGCTGGGCCTTCTTCACCTGAATCTTTGCATCCCCAGCACCTAGAACAGCATCTAGAATACCATGGGCTGTCAGTTTATGACAAAGGAACATCATGAAAGGCCTCAGCTGAGTGTCCATCCTGACAGAGGAAGGGCTAAGATCTTGGGGTAGAAACCAGACTGCTTGGGATGGATGCGGACAGGGAGGGGCAGGGCTTAGCAGTAACACGCTTTATACAGAATTTAATTCTTCAAGTCATAAGGCCTTAAGCAAAAGATTGATACATCTGATAACATAAAAGGCAAAAAATGTTAACCAGAAAAAACTACCCTAAAAACAAAGTAGGTGAAATATTTGCAATTCATATCACAAGATCATATTGTAATTTTCTCAATATACAAAGAGCTCTTACAAATCAGTAAGAAAAAAAATAATACATGCAATGAAGAAAAGTAGAGTATATAAATAGGCTTTCACAGAGAACATAAAAATGATTTTTTCTGAGACAGGACCTCACTCTGTCACCCAACCTGGGGTACAGTGGCATGATCTTGGCTTACTGCAGCCTCAGCCTCCCAAGCTCAAGCTGTCCTCCCATCCCAGCTCCCTATCCCCTGAGCAGCTGGGACCACAGGCAAGCACCATCATGCCCAGCTAATTTTGTTTATTTTTTGTAGAGATGGGGTCTCACTATGTTGCCCAGGCTGGTTTGAACTCCTGTCCTCAAGTGATCCTCCCACCTCAGCCTCTTAAAATGTTGGGTTTACAGGCATAAGTCACTGCACCTGGTCAAAAATGATGTTTTAACCATATGAAAACATGTTTTACTTTATTTATGATTAAATAAATGCAAATCCAAACAACCACAAGTGCCAATTTTCAGAATGGAAAAAGTGCGTAAGTCTGGCAATATTAATACATCATGTTGGCTCAGGTGGCCCAGGTATGGAGGAGCCCGCATTCATCAACGCTTTGGTGAAAATGGAACTTTTTGCAACATTTCCATACAGAAATTTGTCAATGTCTTTAACATTTTGAATTCACATACATTTAATCCAAATAATTGTATGGGGAAGGGAACAGGGAGGGGGTTGAGATAGGGAAAAGCTGGGCTGTGATTTCAGAATATATTTATTCTGCCATGACTTAAGCCCTGGGCTCTGCTCCAGAATTCTTGTCTGAATAGTTTGCTGTTCATGGAGGCTGTTTACATTATTGGTTCTTTTCTCAGCAGTCAGACATTGTTCCTTGGCTCTAGCACCAAGGAGTTGTGCTTCCCATCGTTAGAAAGATGATGCAAGAGGTCTGCCTTCAGTTTGACATGTTTGTTTTCAATAACAGGAATGTGTTTGTACAGCTCTTTAGTGAGCACTGTTACTGCTAACTCAACATCGATTCTCCCTTCTTTTTTTCTTAGAGAACTTTGAATTATTTTTAGATATCTACCTCTCCTATACACAGCCCACGTGTCCCAATGAAAGATGACCCCACCCCAGCTCCAGAGGCAGCTTTGATTTGTTGGTCTAAATAAAGGTTTTTGCATCCCCTTTTCAGTGACTGGATCAGACATGGCTGTGAAAGCCGATTAGAAACAAGAGGATGCTACTATCAAGGGAGGGCAGGATGTTGGGAGGGGAAGACTACAGCAATGGGAAATTGATTACACATTGGGGATTAGTCAAATGAACAAATAGGATGAGAATTATGGTAGCCAAGTTTGTCACTCTTGGAGTAGGGAATCACAAACATGGAAAGAGAGAAACTAGTTTGACCCTGTGGTGTGTTGGAATTGGAGACATTGGTGTGAAGTCATGGATTTCAATATATAGATTGATCGGTGTAGAAATAGACATAGATGTAAATGCAGATATATATAACAGTATAGAGTCCCTAGCCCTGTTCACTGAGAGACTCTAGAAGCAATAACAACCCAGTAGCAATAAGAATACTTAGTATCCAAATTTTGGCTTCTAAATATCTTTCTCCACTAAATGGAGCTAGGACTACTTACCAAAAAAAATGGCTGGTTCCATGATTTGAGCAAGGAAAGGGCAAAATGAGTCTGGAACATCTTATTCTACCAGAAAGTAAGATGTGCCCAAAGAATTAGGAGACATTTCAAAAGGACACAGAGTCCAGCTTAAAGGTTCCTACCAGTCAAATAAAGGAGAATCTCAGTATCAAAATAAATAACAGTAGTTAGAGATCATAACCCATTAAATGAATTAGGAATTCATGAGTCCATACTAATATAAATATATAGATAAATTAAGACATTAAATGTTTGATAAGAAGGTATGTATTCACAGTGTCTCAAAGTACCTTCCTACAACTTAATAATGACAAAGGAAAAGTAAGTTAACTACAGTGAAGAAGGCTGGCAGATACTGCTTTAATGAAGTGGTCAAAACTAACATCTCCCATGATGAAACAAATCAAAATCATGTGCCAGGTGATAAGATGCAATGAAACAAACACCACATTACCTTTTGTGGTATTCCTGCCACAGATGCAAAACTTGAATCCAATCATAAGGAAACATCAGATAAACCCAAACCAAGGGACCTTCAATAAAATAACTGGGCTACAGTCTTTTAAAATATCAAGGTCATGAAAGTCGGACATCCTTTACAAGGACATTATCAGTACAAGTGGCAAAACTGGAATGGAAGGCCGGGCGCAGTGGCTCACACCTGTAATCCCAGCACTTTGAGAGGCTGAGGCAGGTGGATCACCTGAGGTCAGGAGTTTGAGACCAGCCTGGCCAATATGGTGAAACCTTGGCTCTACTAAAAATACAAAAATTAGCCGAACATGGTAGCATATGCCTGTAATCCCAGCTACTAGGGAGGCTGAGGCAGGAGAATCACTTGAACCCAGGAGGTGGAAGTTGCAGTGAGCTGAGACTGCACCATTGCACTCCAGCCTGGGTGACACAGTGAGACTTCATCTAAAAAAACAAACAAACAAACAAACAAAAAACCTTGAATGGTGTCTGTGATTTAGAATTTTGGCTTTGTAGGAGAATGTCTTTGTTCCACAGGAAGTATACGCTAAATTATCCTGGTGCACAGAATTTCACGTCAGCAAATTACTCTCAAATAATTCAGAGAAATAACTTTTTTGTACTGTTCTTGAAGGTTTTCTCTAAATTTGAGATTGTTTCTCAAAAAATAGAAAGAAAATAAAACAAATGGAAAGAAATGTTCTTAAGATACAAGGAGACTATTACTATTACTGAAAACTTCTAGAAAAGTCTTTTTTCCTTCTATGAAGACTTTCTGAAACTTTTTTCCTCCTCTGGATAATGCCAGGCATTGAGATGAGACCCCAAAAATCATGTGATCGTCTCACTGCCAGCCTGAGAAGAAGGCAGAGCGAAGAGGATCACAGGGAAAGATCTGGGGCCACTGGATCGAGCCTGTCCTGATTCCTCTGGACTGTCAGCCACGGGAGTGATTAAAATTCCTTGTTGTTTAAGCTTCTCATGTTGGGTTTTCAATTATTCTCCACAAAAGACATCCTGACTTACACATAGTCATTGAAGAAGGATTCCAGTGTCCTCTGACAATGAACTCCAGCCTCATTGTGACACAGGTTATCCATTTATAAAATCCTTATATAGAAATCTCCCTCCTGGCCGGGCGCGGTGGCTCACGCCTGTAATCCCAGCACTTTGGGAGGCTGAGGCGGGTGGATCATGAGGTCAGGAGATCGAGACCATCCTGGCTAACAAGGTGAAACCCCGTCTCTACTAAAAATACAAAAAAAATTAGCCGGGCGCGGTGGCGGGCGCCTGTAGTCCCAGCTACTCGGGAGGCTGCGGCAGGAGAATGGCGTGAACCCGGGAAGCGGAGCTTGCAGTGAGCCGAGATTGCGCCACTGCAGTCCGCAGTCCCACCTGGGCGACAGAGCGAGACTCCGTCTCAAAAAAAAAAAAAAAAAAAAAAGAAATCTCCCTCCTGCGTAATAATGGGTCCTTGTTATGACATGGATGATGGGTAAACAAGCACAGTGTAACCTCTTGAGCACCTCCACAGTGACTTTCAGATTCCAAGTAAAAAGCATTCCAGAATGTGAAGGAATACGCTGAGCTTATCACACAGGGGCATTGCAGTATGGAGCTATCTAGCAACCAAGTTGAACTCAGTCCAACATCATTTTTACCACTCTGCAACAAATGTCCCCAGGCCTTCCCTTTCTACCTAAAAACCTTATTTGATTCTATTTAAATGTCTGTTAACTTTACTCTTCTGATTTAATCTTATCACTCTCTTCTCAGAAACCTTGAATAACTCACCCATACCTAAGAGATAGAGTCTTTTATCTTATCATGGCACTCAGGGACCTCCCTGGCAGATCCCAAACCATCCTTCACATCTGTCTTCTCTATCTCAGTGCACTTTATTCTCCAGGAACACTGTGGAGAAGGGAGTTACAAATATGGAAAGTGAGGCCAGGCACAGTGGCTCACGCCTGTAATCCCAGTACTTTGGGAGGCCAAGGCAGGTGAATCACCTGAGATCAGGAGTTCAAGACCAGCCTGTCCAACATGGTGAAACCCCGTCTCTACTCAAAATACAAAAATTAGCCAGGCGTGGTGGTGGGCGCCTGTAATCCCAGCTACTCAGGAGGCTGAGGCAGGATAATTGCTTGAACCTGGGAGGTGGAGGTTGCAGTGAGCCGAGATCGCGCCATTGCATGATTGTTGCCTGGGCAACAGAGTGAGACTCCGTCTCAAAAAATATATACATTTATATATGGAAAGTGAGAAAACTAAACTGAACCCTGAGGTGCTGTTTGGAATTGAAGACATTGGTGTAAAATCATAGATCTGAATCTATGTAGACAGCTATGGGAATCTATGTAGGCATGTTCCTGATATAAATCTAGGTATGTTCCTGATGTAAATCTATCTGATGTAAATCAGGAACATTCCTGGATAGATTCCGTGTCCACTGAGAAGTAGAAGCAACAGCACCCCAGTAACAATGCAAACGCCTAGTTGCTGGAAATATCATGAAGTTTTACATCTTTTTGCCCACGTATACCTAATCCTACAGTTTTCTACATTAAAACACCTCGGCTGTGCTCTGCCTACCAAAATTCCATTGAAGTGAAATTACAAAATGTAAAGCACCAAATACATGTCACCAACAATTTTTTATCCCTGACTCTCAATCAAAGTCTGGCTCAAATACTCTCTCTCCTGTGACACTTCGTTGGGAATATGCAAGCAGAATTCATGTCTCTTACCTCTATGCCCATGAATCATTTCCTGTGAGCCTCTAGAGAGCATCAGTGCATCCTTCTTTGTGTTGATGATGGCTGTTTACAAGTTCGGCTCTCCGACATCTCATGGATTTTTGTGGGAGGATGTGACTCTGTTTCTCTTTGTCTTCCTAGCCCCTAGCACAGGACCTGGAAAATATTAGGTGTTCAATAAAGGCATTTGGAATTAGAGGGAGTCTTTCTCCACAAAATAGACTGGAGCTCACTGGCCTGCCTCCAGAGCCAAGCCTTGACCTCATTTGCACTGAACTCTGCCCAAGGAAGCTGACCATTCATAGGGAATCCAGGACAAAGCCACCAGGGCCCTTTGTTCCAGCCCTATTTCTATAGACTATTTCACTTTGCTGAACAAGAGGACGTCTTCAGAGAGCTGACATGCCCGCTTGCCAGGTCTTTCACAGAAATGTTTTATTTGATGCTTTGCTTTTGCTGCAGAGTAAGTCTCTCTCCACTTTGCAGCCAGAATACTGGACACATGAAAGGAATGTTCCTGTTTTGATAACAGCTTCCTTAGAGCTTGGCTCTACTGGGCTGGGCAAGGAAATGACCACATTCTGGCTCCCAGGGAAGGCTGTGGAACTCCAAATATGTGGGACTGAGGGAAGCTCCTGCCCAGGAAGAAAGCTGTTGTCAGACGGAGATGAAAATCCCAGTGTTCTTGGCTCAGGGGGTTTTCTTCATTAACTGTGCAATCAGCAAAGAGCAGTAGAGAGATACTTTGCAGCCCAAGGATCTTAGATGGCGAGAGGCAATGGGAAATCTTCCCATTGAGGTCCCATCTGACCTCCGTGATGGCCTCCATTCATTTTATATTGCTACCAGAACAAACCCCCACAAATTCAGTGGCTTAAAACAACACCTATGTATTATCTCACAGTTCTGTAGCTCAGAAGTCTGGGTACAGTGTGGTTCAACTGGGTCTTCTTTTTACTTTTATTTTTATTTTATTTGTTTAGAGATAGTGTCTTGCTTGCTCTGTCGCCCAGGCTGGAGTAGAAGTGGCACAATCATAGCTTATTGTGAAACCACCATTGCAAAATTATAACTGAGACAGTGAAATAGATCTGATCTAACCAACTCCATCTTGCTTCTAACCTCCAAGCTGTCCTTGCTCATTCCTGGGTGTAGGCCAAAGTAACTTTGGGAGGAATTTAGTTTGTAGTTTATAGTTTAAAACAGCCCTTTCCCAAAACAAACCTTCTTCTTGCCTGGGGACTAGACTGACTTTGTAGGACAAACAAATTAGCCACAAGATTAGAAATTATGATTTAAGAGTCATGTAACTGGAGGCTACAAGATTCTGACCCTCCCCAAATTGCTCCTGGGATAACATCACTATTGTAAAAACTAAGATCAGTGCTTGAGATATTTTGAAGACCCTGCACTTGATGGATCCACTGGCACCACTCAGATTGATAAACTGGCTCATCTGATCTTGCGGTCCCCACCCAGGAACTGACTCAGTGTAAGAGGACAGCTTCGACTCCCTATTATTTCATCTCTGACCTTACTAATCAGCACTGCCGACTCACCGGCCCCCACCCACCAAATTATCCTTAAAAACTCTGATCTCCGAATGCACGAGGAGACTGATTTGAGTAATCATAAAACTCTGGTCTCCTGCACAGCTGGCTCTGCGTGAATTACTCTATTGCAATTCTCCTGTCTTGATAAATCAGCCTTGTCTAAGCAGCAGGCAAGGTGAACCTGTTGGGCAGTTACAATTGCAGCCTTAAACTCCCAGACTACCACCTCAGCCTACCTGAGTAGCTGGGACTACAGGCAGGCATCACCACACCTGGCTAATTTCTGTCTGGTTTTGTTTTGTTTTTTGTAGAGATGGGATCTCACTATATTGCCCAAGCTGGTCTCAAACTCCTGGGCTCAAGTGATCCTCCCACCTCAGCCTTTCAAAGTGCTAGGGTTACAAGTGGGAACCACCACACTCAGAGTGGGTCCTCTTTAGAGTTTCATGGGGTGAAATCAAGCTATCAGCAGAACCACAATCCTTAGTGGGGGCCCCAGAGAAGAATCTGCTTCCAAACTCACCCAGATGCCTGGCCGAATTCAGTTGCCTGTGCTTGCCAGTTGAGGGCCATCCTCAGTTTCTAGAGGCCTCTCCTGAATCCTTGCACAAGGCTCCTACTTCTCAGAGCCAGCAACGGCACACTGAATCCCTTCTCAGAACTGCACATTGAATCTCCTTGACTTCCTTTCTGCTGCGTCTCTCTGACTCCACCCAGAGAGAGTTTCCTGCTTTTAAGAGGGCAGATAATTGAATTGAGCCCACCTGGAGAGTCTCCCTATCTTAAGGTCAGTCATCTACTTCCATCTGTAAACTCCCTTTGGCCATGTAAGGTAACATATTCCCAAGTTCCAGGCATTATGGCGTGGACTTCGCTGGGGGACCATATTGGACCTATGACAAGGCCCTACATTTTCATTACAAAAGTAGGACTCCACCTGGCATGAGTATAATTGGGCTTTTTCTTGGGAGAGTACAGCTGGTCTTTGTTTTGCAATTTGCAGAAAAAAGTTTTAAATCTCCAAATATAGAAAATCTAGGTCTTTGAGCATGTTTCCGAGACACATTACTGTTTATCCTTACGCTTATGAGATTGTACCCACAGCCAATCCCTGACATCTGGGAACTGCCAAGAGGGACAGACAGATCCAGAGAGCCCAGGAATGATGTCCAAGAGGTTCCTCAGGGCTAGGTGAGAGACCAGTATTAGAATACACAGAGCCAGGCATGGCAGATCATGCCTGTAATCCAAGCACTTTGTGAGGCCAAGGCAGGAGGATTGCTTGAGTCTAGGAGTTTGAGATCAGCCTGGGCAACATAGCAAGGCTTTGAATCTAAAAAACAAAACAAAACAACAACAACAAAAACAAACAAACAAAAAAAACGACAGCATCAGTTATTAAAGGACATGCACTTAAAGGTAGGTCCAAAACATGCTGAAATTCCCATTTTTTGAAGGCATGGCCAACACTCAGGGTCTAGGATCATATCTAAGACAAGCTGGAAAAACTGATGATGGGCACAAGTTCTAATGGAAGCAACCAGCCTCCATTATCAGAACTGGGGAGACCTACTTGCAGGTATTTGGTACAGCCAAGGGAAACTGAGATTCAAGAAAGGAAATCCATTTTCTGGAAGAGCTGGGGTAGCAAGCAGGGACTATATAATAAGGAATAAATGCAGAAAGTGGGTTTCTATGTCAAAGCAGGTCCAAAAATGGGATCAGCTAAATAAGAATAGGTAGGCCCTATAGCGGCCCGGCTTTGGGGTTAAATCAGATCCACTGGGCTCTGGGACAAAGTCAAAACTTTAGGGAGTGGGAAGGAGGCCACTTATATGTCCTGTTCAAGGCACGGTAGATATAACTGTGTGCAAATCACATCCCTGCCTTCAAGGATCATATAGTCTAGGAGGCAGTTATTCTACCACGTGGCAGGGCTGTGGCAGCACACAGGAAGAATGAGAAAGGCTTCTAGAAGTGGTTCTGCGTAAAGACCTAATGATCAAGGAAAAGTTAGGTTAATGAATAGGTAGTCTCCAGCAAAGATGGGGCAAGACCTAGAATGGGAAGAGAACATGGCATTTTAGGAGTTTAGCAAGTAGTTTATCAAGAACGTGGCGTATGTAATATGAAGTCCACTTTCCTCCCACTAAAATCTCACTGTCCAATGTTTCATTTTCACTTCGAGCATTTGGACAGTGTTTTAATGCTGTTATTGTTGTGAGAATGTCTGGAATTGGCTAGAAATGTCTCCCTCCTTCTCCCCTCTTCTTCTCCCAATACCCCTGACCCTCACTCCAAATGTCAGGATTCAAGACTAACCAAGTAGCACAAAATTTTATTTCAGCACTGAAAGAGATGGAGCTGAGACTGCTCCTTCAGTGCCTCCTCTATTTGCTGAGGTCCAACTCACTTCTTGGCCCCCCTGGCGGCCTTGGGTGCCATCATGACTGGCACTCCTCTGGGGTTCATAGTCACCAATTTGGAAATGAATCTTGGACCAGAAGGACACACTTCTCTGTTTCTCAGAAATGACTTCCAGCCAGAAAGACATGTGCTTTATTTTTTTTCCACTGAATCTTTATGCTACCTACTCTCTATGTTATCTACTTGATTTGTCTAGTCACGGTCCCTGCTCAATCTGAATGGTCAAGACAATCACTCCATTCAACAAGCATGGTCAAAACCATAAAGCTATGCATTGTCTTACACCAAGTCAGGAATGCTAATTGGCTGAAATTTTGTTGGGCCAGAATATGAAGATAAACTAGAATACTTGAGGGTTAAACCATCTACTTCAGTTAAGTAAAGTTCATTATTGAAGAGAAATGTTGTTCTAATGCTGTGCCTTCTGTTTCATATCTGTTTTTTAATGTTGAGTCAAGGGAATCCTGCTTGGCAAGTAATTATCATGCTCTGCTTTCCCTAAATAACATTTAAACATCCCCTTGTAAATGTAGCAAATACCTCTCCCCGAATTTTTAGCATGCTTGGAATTGTGTATGGCTTGAGACCAACCAAGTTTTGCTAATAGCACACGTAACCAAAGGCAAGCAGGAGTGAAGCAGTGGCTTCATCAAGGTGCACTAACTCTGAAAGGTCTGTCTGCTCCAGCTGGTTTCTCCTCCTTCCTGGGTGCGGTCCCAAGAATGCAGGTACTAGAAATCTGTGGAGCTGCTGTAACTAAGCCTCTAAACTAGTCCGGGTTCTCCAGAAAAACAGAACCAGTAGGATGTATATACACACAGAGGGTACAAAGGGAGGTTTCTTTTAAGGAAATGGCTCACACAATTATGGAGGCTGGCTAACCCAAAATCTGCAGGGTGGCCTGTAGGCTGGAGACCCAGGAGAGCCGATGCTGCAGTTCAGTTTCAAAGGTCATCAGGCTGAGAACCCAGGAAAGAACCAATGCCTCAGTTTGAGTCCAAAGGCTGTCTGCTGGCAGAATTTCCTCCTGCTTGGGGAAGGTCAGTCTTTTGTCCTATTCAGGCCTTCAACTGATTGTATGAGACCCACCCATACTGTGGAGGGCGATCTGCTTTACTCAAAGTCGGCTTTCCTCAAACTGATTTAAATGTTAATCTCATCCAAAACACTCTCATAGAAACATCCAGAATAATGCTTGACCACATTCCTGGGCCATGACCCAGCCACACTGACACATAAAATTAACCATCACAGCCTCTAATTAGGATATTCTCCCTTTCCTTCTCTGACAAAGGCCCCAGGACCTTTGTAGCTTCTCTCCTTTCTGTGGCTGTCCCACCTCTTGCTCCCCTGGGTTGTTCTGTCCCAAACCTGGCTGAAGAGAGAACTCAACCTCCCTACCTTGTAACACTGAAGACGAGCAGGTGTACAGGCCCATTCTGTCTGCAAGGTTTTCTACTAATCATGACCAGAAACAAAGTATAATAACAACTAAAAATGGGGAGGATCCAGGGTTAGACAATCACACTGTGCTCTTCCCATTTGTTCTGTCTCCCTTTCTGACATTGTAACTGGACATTTTGGGCTTCTGTTATCTATGTATGTCCTTGAAGGTTGATCTTAACTGACCATGATTCTCCGAACACGGCAAGTTCCAACAGGGCAAAACAGAAGCCAACGCGAAGGCCTTTAATCTACAGAGGGTGGTTTGCATTTCTGAGGAAACTTCCAACTGCTCCCTCTGGCTCTGTTCTTGCAGGGACATTCCCTTGGGACATATTCTCCCTGGAGGCTTGTCCTACAGAGGAATTTATAAAATCTTTAGAACATTGTGTATAACCATTTCAAAGAACTTAGGTTTTTAACTTAGCAGAAAACAAACAGTTATTAATCCTTTCTCTTCCTCTACCCCTCACTTTATAACAGTAAAGTCAAGAATTCCACCTTTTCTGAAAAAGAACGCAGTGGATCTGTGCTGAGGCCATCAGCACTGCCCGCTGTCCAGCCCTCTCTCCCTTCCAGATCCAGTGCCTGCCATGTTCCTTGTCCCCATCCATTCTTGGGCTCACCTTCCAGCCCTTTCCACAGCCAAGCCAGGTGGACAAAACTGTGGCACGTTGCAGCTTTTTCTCACCTCTTCTTAATTATTTAGACTCTTTTCCGACTTTTACTATTATTATATTAGTGGGGGAAAAAAGGATGTAGAATCTTAAGCATGGTAGAAACCATCGGAAGAGGACACGATATGAAAATGTTTGCTGAGTGTGTGTTTAATTCCTGTCCTGACTGTGCTTTCTTTTTCCATCATCTCAGAGATGAGTCAAAAACCTCACCTGGTCGCCTCCTCATGGTCCTCCATCCTATCTGCTCTCCCTACCCCTCAGTCCACCCTGCACATGGCTCTCAGGTTACTCTTCCCCTAATGCATCCCCTTGAGAGATATTTTCCCACTCAAGCATTTCAATGGGTCCCCAGTCCCTACACAATACCTTCCACAATCCGGTCATAATCTGCCTTTCTCAACAGATTCACTCACTCTCTCATTCACTCATTCATTCAAATACATCTGTATGGAGCACCTGCTAGGTGCCAGGCCCTGGAGACCCAGGTCAAGAGTAAGCTAGGGTAGACCCAGTCTCTGCTCTCAAGGGCTCACAGCCTGGCTGGGAAGATGGGGGCGCCTATAAATCATTTCGATGAAATGTGATGATGATGATGATGATGATGATGATAACGATGATGATGATGACGACAAAAAGGAAAGATGGCACTGGGATCTTCTCCCCATTTGTGTGGGTAAACTCTTTGCACTTGGCTGGTTTCCTCATCAAACACTGAAAACGCAACACATTCCATCCTCAGAGCATTTGCTCAGCCATCCCTCTCCCCCTTTGGTTCCTCTTCCCATGTGCACACCCATCTGTCCTTCAAGGCCCAGGTCCTGTCCTGCCTTCTCTGTTGAGTTTTTTCTCATCCACAAAGCCCGCAAAGAACTCTCATTTCCACGCACCCACAAACACTCATAATGAGCCCAAAGCAGGGTCACACAAGAACTTCTAGGCCCCACAAATGCAGCATCCTACATTCCACGTTGTCACAAGAGGAATCCACGTCCAAGTACTCCCAGCCCACATTTGGGGGTAGCAAGAGACCACACATCCCCACTCAGCCCTCACCCAGCCCTCAAAGCTCCAGGCACTGCGCACGTGCTACCTGCCTCTTCACAGCCACACTGCAGATATTTGTCACTGTCACTGCTGCTTTGCGGGAGAAAACATGAGGCTGCAAGAGGTGGAGTACAGTGCATGAGTGTCCCCATGTTGTCTGGCCACCTGCAGGATGTGACCAGGCCTATCTCCTGCAGCCTTCAAAGCTTTCCTCCCACACTGCCCCCTCACCCAGCCCCCCACCCCCAGCTCGGGAGCTGGTTCCCCACCAGGGAGGAGCACCATGGATATTCCAAGAACCCCTGACTTGCTGACTTTCTAGAGAAGGCACCACTTTACTGCAGTTATCCCCCCAGGGCTGAGCTGCAAACAATGCCACATGTCAGCATATGAAGGCTCTGGACCCAACTCAGGAACCCCAGCCCATCATTCAGACACCTGTGATCAGCCTTGTTATCTGTCTTCCTTCAGAGGTGCAGTGTCCAGTGGAAGCTGGACCGCAAGACACAGGGACCCCAGAGAACAAAAGCAGTGGCACGGTGGGTGCATGCTGGCCTGGAAGGTGGGCTGGGCCTCAGATTCTAGCCCTGTCTCAGCCACAAGGATTCAGAGCTATCACTTACTGTGGCTTATGTGTCCCGTGTGAGCTACATTCTTCACATGCTGTGTCTTGTCAACTCCTCTAGTCACCAGAGTCTGGTGTGCAACAAGGGAGGGAGCTTAGCCAGTAACACTCACTGACTGGGTGCCACACACAAGCATTTCTCAGTTCTCTACAGAGTCCTTGTGTCAGCTGGCAAGTGCCTGCACTGCTCCAGCTAAAGGGTGAAGCAAATACACATCACTGAAGGCAAAGACCTGTCCAGGTGAGAAAGGATTCCAAACCATGACACAGGAATTCTGTCACTCTGCCCTTCCTAAAAATATGCACACATAGCACGGCCATCTGCACTCTCTTTGTTCTCCATGAGCTCCTAGAGCTTCCCAGTTGGTTCCATACCATCTCCATTATTCTACCAGGCCCTGGAGGATGTGCTGACTTCACCCTGTGTCTACACGTAGGCACATACGTGCACAAACACATGTGCACACCCACTCTTACTCTTCTTATCTCAGATTCGCAAAATGAGAGTGCTGCAGGAGTCATGAAAGAATCTCCAATGGGCAATAACAAAACATCCTTCCATATCAGTAAGTGTTTCCCCATGACACTAATCCATTTGTAAAAATAAAATTGGGAGGTAGAGCTGGCCTATCATTTCTAAGGTTGCCTCTCTCCCTGCCCTTCTGATCCCAAATGGCTTAGGCTTCCTGGTAATGCTTTGGAATCGACTTTTCCCTCTCATCAGTCTATACTAGCCCACCCCAGGAGGCCAGCTCACCTGTGGGAGGTGGGGAAGCCATCTCCCACCTTGCTACCTTCAAATCCACAATTTCTTTTGGATGGAGTGACTTCTCGAGTCCCTTGGATGTCTTCCCAGAGATGGTTCCTGCATATCCTTAGTGGGGAGATTGGCACAAAGCACCAGCAGTCCCAGGAGACCCTAAGCCCTCCTTTATCTCTAGGGGATAAAGACCTTCTGCTGGCTTTATGGACTTGGAGACCTCTCCCACTCTCAGTTCAAGGTATCTTTGGCAATTACCACTTTCAACTAACCTTCTGGAAAGTTCTCTCACCCTCATCTCTCTTACATCCCATTCTCATTCCTGTTTCTTTTCTTTCTCAGGATAACGTAGCAGTTAAAAGCTAGGGCTTTGGGGTCAGGCTCAGTGGGTTCTGCCTGTAATCCCAACACTTTGGGAGGCCAAGATGGGAGAATTCCTTGAGGTTAGGAGTTCGAGACCAGCCTGGTCAACATAGTGAGACCCCATCTTGATCAAAATAAATAAATAAATATATTTTTAAAAAAAGACCAGAGCTTTGGGGTTAGCCTGCCTGGACTCCAGCCCTCTGTCACCCACTAGCTTTGAGATTTACCCACTCCGGGTATCCGTTTCCTTTCTGTTAAATGGGAATAGGATAACACCTGATCCAGTGGAGTAGAGATTAAATGAGATAATGCTTGCAAAATGCCTAGCAGAGTGACTGACATATACAAAGAGCGCTGTAGGGATTTTTTATTATCCTTTCTCATGCAGACTCACAGGCATTCATGTTCACAATGCTTTTCCCCCCTGCCATTACAGGTTTTAGCAACAAAGAGAAAATGTGTAACAGAGGCCTACTCAACAAGCCAGTTAACTTCTTGGAGTCACTTAAAACCAGAAAGATGGGTGTCCTCATAAAACACAGGACTGGCCCAGTCCTAAAGATGAAGCTAAACATGGCTTGGCTGTGGGAACTGTAGGGCCGAATGGACAGAGCTGAAAACCAGATTTCTTCATCTACAGACTGACAAAATTGTCTATGATCCTTTGATTCTGGCTCATGCCATCTTCTTTTTCCGTCTTCCTAAGCATGGACCTTTGCCCAATACCATCTTCTCTGTTTCCTGCTTCACACTCTTCCCTCTGGGGACAATCCACATCCAGGGCTCCCTTCTAGCCCTTGTCTCCTGAATCTGTTGCACCAGCCCCAATCTCTCTCCAAATTCCCAGGGAGCTGCAGATGTTTCCACCCACGTCCCACCAGCACCTCAACCCAGCAAGTGGGAAACAGCTCATTATCCGCCCCACACACCAGCTGTTTTTCCATTCATTCTCCTCGTCATTGGATCTTGAAAACCTAGGTCATCTCGGTCCCCACCCGCAGCCCTCAACTCACTCTATAGCCAACACCTGCTTTTTCTTTCTTGGATCATCACTTGCTTCTTGCTTTCTGTCTTCCCTCCCAACTCTGTGTATCTGATCCTTTTCACCACCTGCCTAGACCTCCTGTACCGGCCCCTAACTCATTCCCCTGGCTCCAGCCAATCATTTGCTCAGCCCAGCCTATATTCTGCCGCCAGGCCAGTATTTAACCCAGGCATGCCTCTATTTCAACATAATTTGCCTTCTTAATCGCCTACGAGATGAAGTCCACTGTCCCTGTTCGTAGCAGTAGTAGGGACCTCCTCAATTCTACCTCAGTGTAACTCCTCCCCTCTAATCGTCCACAGACCCAGGCAAACCAGCATCACCCCACTCCCCAAACACACCTCATCCTTGCTGCCTTGTGCCTTTGCAACCTGCTCTCTCAAATCCAACTTCATCCCCACTCCCCAGTTATTCTTCAAGGCCTACCTCAGGTTTTTTCCCTTTCATGAAATCTATCCCCATTCCCCTGGCCAAAATAATCCCTCAGAAGGTCTCATTTCTCTGACTCCCCAAAGCTCTTTGAGCTCCATTTGGACGCTCGCAAGAATTTAATTCAACAAACACACATTAGCACAGATCACATGAAAGAAGGTTGTCCTTGGTGCTGGGGGAAGGGAGTGGAGGGAGACCAGTTCCTCTTCTCTCCATCAGATCCTTGAGTCAGCAGCTATGAGAGATGGTAGAGCTAGGCTAGAGTTATAAGAATGTGTTATTAGACAAAAGTGGAGGCAAAGATCTGACTGCAGTTGGCATAGTTAAAGGGAAGAGCCTGAAGCCCCATATGTGAATCCTGCCTCCACTATTTCCTACCTTGCAGAACATGGGCAAGTCACTTCACTTTTCTGAGCATCCATTTCTTCACCCCTAAAATAAGCATAGTAATAATTCATACCTGTTGTGAGGATTACATGGGCTTAGCTCAGCATCTGTCATATAGTATTATTCACTAGCCATGCAACCTTAGGAACAATACTTAACATCTGTGCCTCAGTTTCTTCATTTGTGGGGGAAAAAAGAGATAGTAATTTCTACCTCAAAAGTTGTCATAAGGATTAAATGAGTTAATGTATGTAAAGCCCTTCAAACAGTTCCTGGCCCAGAGAGAGGTTTAAGAAATGTTAACTATTTGGATATGATGATGTGGATGCTGCAGATGCTGCTGATGATGGTGGTGTTGATGATGATAATGATAATGATGTTGATGATGATATTGATGCTGCTGAGTTGAGGCCCTTCTCATAATCCTATTCTTCTGGCCTTTCATTAGTCTTACAAAGGCAGTCCCTGAGCAAGGAGGGGGTTAGTTTTAAGGCAGGACTATTATTGTCCTTGCTTTCAAGATAAACTATAAACTAAATTCCTCCCAAAGTTAGCTTGGTCTATGCCCAGGAATGGCCAAGGACAGCTTGCAGATCAGAAGCAAGATGGAGTCAACTATGTCAGATATCTCTTACTGTCATAATTTTGCAAAGGTGGTTTCAATTGTGGTCTCCAGGTCAGTAACATCAGTGACACAGGGAGCTTGTGAGAAATGCAGACTCCCAGGCCCCACCGCAGGGCCTGGCTCTGGGGCACAGGTCCATTTGCTCTGGGGATGGTGCTTTTCCTTCAGCCTCACTGACTTCACATGAAAGTAGCATACCCAACCCTTCATTCCCTTCATAAATCCTTAGATTAACACAGTGGGAAGGGCCCGAGGGGACATCTCTATCCCTTTGTTTTACTATCAGAGAAGTTGTTCAACAGCTCTGCTATTTGGGGTGGTAATAAACCTTTCCTGTTCTCTTCTGGCTGCCCTCTTTAATGTCTGTCCATGAGCTACAGCGCGGCTTTCAGTCCCTGACATTCTCCACTCGGGCAGACTCCTCATCTGCCCAGGACTAAAGAGACCCTCAGCCCCACTATCTCACCCACTCCTACAGCCACCTGACTTTCCTACAAGAGGATCAGCGGCCCTTTTCCCCACTAAGACCCCATTGCTGGATCCTTGGGTACTACAGCAGGGTTTCCAAACTCCTTGCCAAAAGCCCAGCTTTTTCTGGGAGCTTGTGGAGGTTCCAGGGGGACCTTTTTGGAAGTACAGGCAGGCTTTGAATATTTTGTGAGATTACCTCCCCTTATTATGCTTTACATATTGTGATAAGATTAAGTCTGAATCCAATTCCTTTCCCTGCCTTTATCCAAATTATAAAATACCTAGAAAATGTTCATTTTCTCCCAAATACAAAGACTAGGCCAGAGAAAAAACCCAATGTCACCCAGAAGAGGAAAATGCATTTGATTTGTCACACTGTGGTTTAGGTAACAAACAATGTAAAATGAAAACTGTTATAATAGCTCCTCAGAGCCTCTATTCTTAACCTTAATATATTGGTATTTCCTTTTTATCATGTTTTTTCAGACACCCCCTCTTCTCTTCCACCCCAGCTCCACCTTGACTATGTCACCAGATTAACCACTGTTCTCTGTTCCCTCCAGAAAACATTCCATGATGCTTATGAACCCAGACAGCAAGGAAGCCACTCACCAACACACCCACATTCTTATTTCCCCATTTTTTGTGTGAATTATTGCATCAAAATTTACATACACTTACATAAGCAATGCCATATACATAGTGCTTAATGAATAATCAGAAAGCGAACTCTGTAACTCCTCTTGAGGGTTCATTGCTAATACCCAGAAGCCCTCTTGTTCCCCTACTCCTAAGAGGTAACCACCTAGGTCTACATCACCAAGTGATATGTACCAGAGTTTCATTTTACCTGCTTTTTAACTTTATATAAATGTGATCACATTGTATTCTTTGTCTTGCTTCTGTTCTAAGATTCTCTCATGTTGCTTGTGTAGTGGTGTGTCCATTTTCATTGTTTTGTAGTATTTTATTGTTTGGCCATGTGACACTTCACATGTCCATTCTATAGGTGATGAATATTTGGATTGCTTCCCAATGCAGCTGAGGTGAACCAGGCTGCCATGAGTATTCTTGTACGTTGCAGACCTTGCTGTGCATTTGCCTAAGGTTCTCTAGGTATGCACCTAAGAGTGGAATTGCTGGGCCATAGAGTATGTGGATTTTTTTTTTAATTTTTTTATTTCCATAGGTAATTGAGGAACAGGTGGTGTTTGGTTACATGAGTCAGTTCTTCAGTGGTGATTTGTGAGATTTTGGTTGCACCCACCACCCGAGCAATACAGACTGCACTCTATTTATAGTCTTTTATCCATCACCCCCTTCCCACCTTTTCCCCGAGTCCCCAAAGCCCATTGTGTCATTCTTATGCCTTTGTATCCTCATAGTTTACCTCCCACTTATGAGTGAGAACATATGATGTTTGGTTTTCCATGCCTGAGTTACTTTACTTAGAATAATAGTCTCCAATCTCATCCGGGTCACTGAAAATGCCATTAATTTATTCCATTTTATGATTTTATGGCTGTGTAGTATTCATATATATCACGGTTTCTTTATCCACTCTTTGATTGATGGGCATTTGGGTTGGTTCCACGTTTTTGCAATTGTGAATTGTGCTGCTATAAACCTGCGTGTGCAAGTATCTTTTTCGTATCATGACTTATTTTCCTCTGAGTAGATACCCCGTAGTGGGATTGCTGGATCAAATGGTAGGTCTCATTTTAGTTCTTTAAGGAATCTCTACACTGTTTTCCATAGTGGTTGTACTACTTTACATTCCCACCAACAGTGTAGAAGTGTTCCCTGTTCTCTGCATCCATGCCAACATCTACTACTTTTTATTATTTATTTATTTATTTATTTATTTTGAGACAGAGCCTTGCTCTGTCGCCCAGGCTGGAGTGCAATGGCATGATCTTGGCTCACTGCAACTTCTGCCTGCTGGGTTCGAGCAATTCTGCTGCCTCAGCCTCCTGAGTAGCTGGGACTACAGGTGCACACCGTCATGCCCAGCTACTTTTGTTTTTGTACTTTAGTAGAGACGGGGTTTCACCGTGTTGCCCAGGCTGGTCTTGAACTCCTGAGCTCAGGCAATCTGCCTGCCTCAGCCTCCCAAAGTGCTAGGATTACAGGCATGAGCCACCGTGCCCAGCCTATTTTTAAATTTTTTTTATTATGGCTATTCTTAAAGGAGTAAGGTGGTATCACATTGTAGTTTTGATTTGCATTTCCCTGATAATTAGGGTTGTTGAGCATTTTTCACACTTTTGTTGGCCATTTGTATATCTTCTTTTGAGAATTGTCTATTCATGTCCGTAGCCCACTTTTTTCTTTTTTTTCTTTTTTTTTTTTTTTTTTTTTTTTGCAGTTGCAAGATTTAATAGAGTGAAAACAGAGCTCCCATACAAGGGGAGGGGACCCAAAGTGGGTTGCCGTTGCTGGCTCGAATGCCTGGGTTTATATACTGATCAATGTCCCTCCCCCTGTGCTCTCAGGCAACAGATGATTGGCTATTTCTTCACCTCCTGTTTTTGCCTAATTAGCATTTTAGTGAACTCTCCTTACCATCTGATTTGTCGGGTGTGAGCTAAGTTGCAAGCCGCTTGCTGATTTGTTTGAGTTCGTTGTAGATTCTGGATATTAGCCCTTTCTTTGTCAGATGTATAGATTGTGAAGATTTTCTCCCACTCTATGGGTTGTCTGTTTACTCTGCTGACTGTTCTTTTTGCTGTGCAGAAGCTCTTTAGTTTAATTAAGTCCCAGATATTTATCTTTGTTTTTACTGCATTTGCTTTTTGGTGCCTCTTCATGAAATCCTTGCCTAAGCCAAAGTCTAATACGGTTTTTCCAATGTCATCTTCTAGAATTTTTATAGTTTCAGGTCTTAGATTTAAGTCTTTAATTCATCTTCAGTTGATTTTTTATAAGGTGAGAGATGAGGATCCAGTTTCCTTCTCCTACATGTGGCTAGCCAATTATCCCAGCATCATTTGTTGAAAAGGGTGTCCTTCACCACTTTGTTTTTGTTTGCTTTGTCAAAGATTAGTTGGCTGTAGGTATTTGGGTTTATTTCTGGGTTCTCTGTTGTGTTCCATTTGTCTATGTGCCTATTTTTATACCAGTACCATGCTGTTTTGGTGACTATGGCCTTATAGTATAGTTTGAAATCAGGTAATGTGATGCCTCCAGATTGGTTCTTTTTGCTTAGTTTTGCTTTGGCTATGTGAGCTCTTTTTTGGTTCCATATGAATTTTAGAATTGTTTTTTCTAACTCTGTGAAGAATGATGGTGGTATTTTGATGGGAATTGCAATGAATTTGTAGATTGCTTTTGGCAGTATGGTCATTTTCACAATATCAATTCTACCCATCCATTAGCATGGGACAGGTTTCCATCTATGTCATCTGTGATTTCTTTCAGCAGTGTTTTGTAGTTTTCTTTATAGAGATCTTTTGCCTCCTTTGTTAGGTATATACCTAAGTATTTCTTTCTTTCTTTTTTTTTTTTTTCTTTTTTGCAGCTATTGTTAAAGGGGTTGAGTTCTTGATTTGATTCTCAGCTTGGTTGTTATTGGTCTATAGAAGAGCTACTGATTTGTGTACATTAATTTTGTATCCAGAAACTTTGCTGAATTCTTTTATCAGTTCTAGGAGCTTTCTGGAGGGATCTTTAGGGTTTTCTAAGTAAACAATTATATCCTCAGCAAACAGCAACAGTTTGACTTCCTCTTTACCAGTTTGGATGCCCTTTATTTCTTTCTTTTGTCTGATTGCTCTGGCTAGGACTTCTAGGACTATGTTGAAGAGGAGTGGTGAGGGTGAGCATCCTTGTATTGTTCCAGTTGAAACGGCTTTCACCTTTTCCCATTCAGTATTATATTGGCTGTGGGTTTGTCATAGACGGCATTTATTACATTGAGGTATGACCCTTGTATGCTGATTTTGCTGAGAGTTTTAAACATAAAGTGATGCTGGATTTTGTCAAATGCTTTCTCTGCATCTATTGAGATAATCAGGTGATTTTTGTTTTTAATTCTGTTTATGTGGTGTATTATATTTATTGACTTGCATATGTTAAAGGATCCCTTCATTCCTGGTATAAAGCCCACTTGATCATGGTGGATTATCTTTTTGATATGTTGTCAGATTCAGTTAGCTAGTATTTTGATAAAATTTTTTTGCATATAGGGATATTGGTCTGTAGTTTTCTTTTTTGGTTATGTTCTTTCCTGGTTTTGGTATTTGGGTGATATTAGCTTCATAAAATGATTTAGGGAGGGTTCCCTCTTTCTCTATTTTGTGAAATAGCATCAGTAGGATTGGTACCAATTCTTCTTTGAATGTCTGATAAGATTTTTGCTGTGAATTATCTGGTCCTGGACTTATTCTGCTGTGAATCTGTCTGGTCCTGGACTTCTTTGTTGTTGGTACATTTTTTTTTTTTTTTTTTTGAGATGGAGTCTCGCTCTGTCGCCCAGGCTGGAGTGCAGTAGTGAAATCTCAGCTCACTGCAAGCTCTGCCTCCCAGGTTCACACCATCCTCCTCCCTCAGCCTCCCGAGTAGCTGGGACCACAGTCGCCCGCCACCGCGCCTGGCTAATTTTTTGTATTTTTAGTAGAGATGGGGTTTCACCGTGTTAGCTAAGATGGTCTTGATCTCCTGACCTCATGATCCACCGGCCTCGGCCTCCCAAAGTGCTGGGATTTCAGTTGTGAGCCACCATGCCCAGCCTGTTGTTGGTACATTTTTAATTACCATTTCAACCTCGTTGCTTGTTATTGGTCTGTTCGGGGTATCTAATTCTTTCTGATTTTAGCTAGGAGGGTTGTATCTTTCCAGGAATTTATCCATCTCTGAGCATGTGGATATTCAATCTCATAGACAGGGCAACTGCTTTCCAAAATGGCATTCATAGAGTTTCACTAGACTCTATGAATTCTAAGTTCTAAGTTCATAGAACTTTCGCTAGAGTTGCTGTGGCTCTAAACCCTTGCTGACGATTAGTATTTTCAGAATTTTTAGTTCTTTCCTGTCTCCTGTGTAAGGCTATCTCATTGTAGTTTTAGTTTGCATTTTCCTGATGACTAATAAATTTGAGCCACTTTTTCATGTTTGTTGACCATCTGAATTTCCTCTTTGGTTTTGTGCCTGTCTAATAAGCCCCTTTTCTTATTGGGTTATTTCTTTTCCATATTAATCTGGTTAAGTTCTTTCTGTATATTTGAAATCCTAGTCATTTGTCAGTATACGTGTTGCAACTGTCTTCGCCCACCTGATGCTTGTCTTTTCACCCATTTTACAGTGTGCTGTACACATCTGTTCCTCTAATTGAGTTCTGTGCTTACAAACTGAGAACTGTGTTTGTCCACAAGCCCATTGAAGTGGGTGGTGAATGTTATTGTCATTTCCATAATAACTTGAATGCTTTGGGAAAACTTTATAAAGCTTAGTTGTTTAAACTCTTATATAAACTGATAGTGATATAGATATAGATTTGATATAGATATGGAATTAGGTGGGGCAATGCAATTATGAAAGAATTGGGCTTGGGGAAGGGTCAGGAAACCTAGAAGGAATCTGCATTCATTGTTCTTCTTAAGTGTCTCTAAGATCTCTAAGATTTCTAACAAATTCTATGTTAAAGACTCTGAAACTGGAATTTGTAAATGATGTACTTTGAGTGTGGTTTATGTAAGAAAGACCATGCTGAATTCTCAGCAAACCTAAGTACGAAGAAAGAATCTGATGATTGGTGAATAAATAGAGTATAGAAGCATCATTCTAGTAATTTCCCACTTTAATTTTTCAAATTAATTATTCAATGATTAGTTTCACTCATATCAAACAAGAGGGCTATATGCCAGCACAAATTATGATTTACAATTATTTCTTATACTAAATTTAACATGTTAAGATACATAAACATCCTAGTATTTGCATTTCGGTTTGTTTTTTGTTTTGGGTTTTTTGTTTGTTTTTTGGTTTTGGAGTTTGTTTTTTGTTTGTTTGTTTGAGACAGAGTCCCGCTCTGTCACCCAGGGGCTAGAGTTCAGTAGCATGATCTCGGCTCACTGTAACCTCCACCTCCCAGGTTCCAGCCATTCTCCTGCCTCAGCCTCCCGAGTAGCTGGGATTACAGGCGTGCACCACCACACCCAACTAATTCTTGTATTTTTAGTGGAGACAGGGTTTCACCATGTTGGCCAGGCCGATCTCAAACTCCCGACCTCAAGTGATCCGCCCGCCTCGGCCTCCCAAAGTGTTGGGATTACAGGCATGAGCCACCACACCCGGCCATGCTTTTTGTACTGTGGTAAATATACATACCATAAAGTTTTAACCATTTTTAAGTGTAAATTTCAGTGACATTAAATACATTCACATTGTTGTGCAACCTCCAGCACCATTTTCAGAACATTTTTCATCTTCCCAAGGTGAAAATCTGCATCCATGAAGAAGTAACTTCCGATTACCCAGTGAGTGCCCCAGTCCCTGGCAGCCACCTTTCTACTTCATGTCTCTAGGAAGGTGATGACTCATGTAAGCGGAATCATACAGTATTTGACCTTTTGTATCTGGCTTATTTCACTCAACACATTGTCCTCCAGGTCCATCCATGTTGTAGCATGTATCAGAATGTCCTTCCTTTTTAAGGTTGAATCACATTCCTTTGTGATATGTCACTTTTTTTTATCCATTCATCTGTTGGTGGATACTTGGTTTGTTTCCATCCTTTGGTTATTGTGAGTAATGCTGCTATGAACATGGGTGTACAACTATCTGTTTGACACTCTGCTTCCAATTCATCTGCATATGTATTAGGAAGTAGAATTGCTGGATCATATGGTAATTTTACGTTTAATTTTTTTGAGGAATGCCATATTCCAGTATTTGCTTTTAACGTGAAGATTGTACAGCATCAGAATGTGTGTAAACCCCCGTCTCACAGGATCCAGCCATATAGGCCGTATTGCCTCTCAATATTGTCTTAGAAACGAATCTTGGATCCTAGAGCAATCTGACAGCAAGTCGGAAGGGATTCTAGAGGTCATCTAGCCCAACCTCATCGTCTTATCAAAGAGGATGTGGCAGCCCAGAGAAGTGATGCGACTTGCCCATGGCCACACAGTCTGTCGGGAAGAGAACCAGGGCAGAGCCTGGGCCACAGCCAATACTGTGTCCACAAGACCACAGAATATATGCCAGAAAAAGCAGGTGCTCAAATCCCTGAAATCACAACGGACATGTGGCCCCCTAAGAAGGAAGTGCTCTGGATTGAGTTCACCCTCTCCCTGCACGGTTGCAAGGGTAGGGCCTGCCCCACTGCACAAGCCCTGGGTGCTGGGCCTGACAGATGCTCTAATGGCCTCATGAGCCACCACACCCTAGGTCCGGCCTACCTTGCCTGGTGCCAGCCAGTCAGTTCACACCAGGGAGGCCAGGCCCAGCTGCACACAAGCCTGCTTCCTTATTGTCCTTTAGGGCGTCTCCTGTGATGCCTGCTCTGCCTGCTGGTCTGTGTTATTCTTGTCAATGGCCCATCCTTTCCTACCGAGTCTGAAACACACACACACACACACACACACACACACACACACAGCAGCTTCTGGAAGGCTTGCCATGTCTTCATCACCTGTCTCAGGATGGGCTGAGCTGTTGACAAAATGCAAAATAAGTGAGTTCTCTTTCTTCTCCCTTTTAATTTTCTTTCCTCCACACTTTGGCTGCCTTCTCCAAATTCCCAAAACTCTGAGGTAGTCCTCAGGATACCAGGAGCTTCTCACCACAGCATTCAACCTCAGCCACATGACCTCTATGGGCAGGAATTTTCTCTCCAAACTTGCCCTTCAGAAACTGAAACATTCTTTGTCTTTCTTGCTCTCAGTCAGTTGCCATATTGGAAAGCAGACCAATACAAATTTTTTTTCCCAGTGACAGTAATGAAACTATCTCACACATTGTCAGACGGACTTTGTTGTACAAAAATCAATTTCTTGTCCATTATCTCAAATGATCCCAACCTCAGTACTGTAGAAATATGTGAGGAAAAGATGAAACTCATCATTTCATTGACAAGAACACTGGTGTGCACTGGGCCCAAGAGCATGGAATTAAGACTCTAGGCCTCAGAGGACTTTCATGCTGTATTACGGAGTTCTACAAGGGATCACGCCAGACAACAGGCAAATGGACAAATCATCATGGATTCTAAACACTTCAGCACAGGACTCTTGGGGATGGCATAGTTTGGGAAAGGAGTGGCTCTTCAAGGAACCTTGCTGAGCCTCAGCTTTCTCAACTGAAGATGAGGCCAGCATCACCCCCAGGAGCATCACGAGGGTCGGTGGAGCCCAGGGTGAGGTACACTGGGGACCTGCAAGAAACTGGGAACTGCATGGATTTGGGAGGACTCATTGGGGCACAATAGGAGGGTCTCTTCTGTAAGGTCTTTCAAATCCCACCAAAATACTGGATGCCTAAGACTTGGAACGTCAGAGCCTTACCTTAGGGCAACAGCCTCTTGCGGAAGTACCTGGGCCCTGAGCCGGGTGGATTCCAGTTCCCCTGTAACAGCCTAGATGAGGGGCCAGGGGTTGAGGAAGGTGCAGGCCACAGCTGCAGAACGAGTGCTGTTGGGGTGTGTATGCTCCTGCAGGCTGAGGCTGTGTGCCACCCATGCAGGTGCTGCCCATGCTCCTCCCTGTGAATGCGCAAAGCAGAGGAGGCTGCAACTGTTAGAAGATGCGAAGGAGGTGGGGGAAGTTACATCTCCTCTCCCACCTCTAGAAATCCTCTTCCAAATGCACCAGAATGCAGAGATGGAGGTGAGGACTCCAGTGTGACCTGCGGGGCCCAGGCACAGCTGCCTTTCTCAGCAGCGGTGGCTTTTCCATCAGCAAGGCACTGGATGCTCTGGGGAAGGAGGTGTGCATGGCTTTATTTTAAACCACTGCCCTGCCCCTCCCTAGTTACAAGGAAACTTGCTGAGTCTCAGCTTTCTCAACTGAAGATGAGGCTAACGTCATCCATGGCAGCGTAATGAGGGCCGGTGGAGCCCAGGGTGAGGTGCACTGGAGACCTTCAAGAAACACTTCTTTGAGAAGACTGTTCAGGAGCCTGGTAGGTTGCCTGGATTCAAGCAAAGGGCTCTGTGGGTGGGGTAACAACATCGCTCGCTAACAGATGAATGGGGAGTCCTTTTTCTAATTAACCTCCAGGCAACACTCAAGTTGTGTTTTCAATCCAAGCTATACAATATAATACCTGGGGTGTCTGAAGCCCTCCCCCAGAGATTCTGATGCAATCATCAGTGGAAGTCCCAGCATGGGGACAGTGAAAGCTTCCCCAGTGGCTCTAACATGCAGCTGACAGCGAGGACTCCTGTCCAGTAGGAATGGCATACAGCGGGCATGTTTTGAAGGACAGACCATGCTTGCAGGCTCTAGGTGGGATACAAGAAGGAGAGTTTGGCCGGGGAGGAGGCAGGATGAGGGCGCTGGGGCACCTTGAGGGGAAGGAGGTGGCAGACAAAAGCCCAGGGACACCCAGGCCTACTTCCCCACAGCCTTGCTGCGCTCTTAATGATAGGGGATCTGGGGTTTGAGTGTCCATGAAAGAAAGGACTAAAGGGATGGGCTAACATCCTTCTTATAATACAAAAGTGTGCCATGGATGCACACATATTTTGCTGCTGCCACGTGAGATTAAAGAATTGTTCTGTATTTTGCATTTCTGCGGCACACTTGCAGTTTACAAAGTGCTTTCACAACACTTATCTCATTGGAATCCTCCAGGAGCCCTGGGAGGGGCAGGGCACCCACCGGCGTCTCCATGTTTCACAGATGAGGAAACAGGCTCAGAAGATTACGTGAGGTGCCTGGTTCTGGGAGGGTGCTGAGGCAGAGCCGGGCTGGAATTTGGCCTTCACAAGGCCAAAGTGCTCCTGAGATCTCCTCTGGGGGACTATGAGTCATGGTGGTTTCTACCAAAACTCCGGCCGCAGCACAACCATGTTCATACACGAAGTTGAGAAATTTGGCCCAGCTCTTCCCTGTTTGCCCAGGACTTCCCAGTTTTTGCAGGGGAAGTCCCATGTCTCAGGAAACCCCTCTATCTTGGGCAAACCCAGATCTATTCCTTACAGGAACAGAATATATTCAACTATTTGATATCTTTGAACACATACACATACCAAAATGTGTTTCCTGGTAAATGATTCAGATACTCCAAGGCATATCGAGAGTTTCCAAATGAACTCAATATTTAGACAAATCTTTCCTTGGTAATGTGACCTATTTATAAAGAATACAGTGAAAACAATGGAAGATTATTGGATTAATGGAACATTTTGTTGTGCCTCTGTGCATTTTATTTTTATATTTTGTCCTATTTTGATATTTTATTTACAAATAAAATGATGATATCCACATTTGACTGATTTATCAGTTGTATTTTAATTGTAAAAATGGAAAGATTCTGCTATTGTGTATCTCTTGGTTAAACCCTCTGTGGGAAGCTGGCCTGTTTGGGCTATGAGAGCCATAAGTGGAGACAGAGATTCTTAACATTTTTAGGGCATGACCCCTTTGGCTGGCTGGTAAAGCTTACGGTCTCTCTTCTCTTCTCTTTTTCTTTCCTTCTTCCTTCTCCCTCCCTCCCTTTCTTTCTTTCTTTGTTTCTTTTTCTCTTCCTTTCTCTCTCTCTTCTTTCTTTCTTTTCTTTCTCTCTTTCCTTCTTTCTTTCTCTTTTTCTTAACAGGGTCTCACTTTGTCACCCAGGCTTGAGTGCAGTGGTGCCATCATGGCTCACTGCAACCTCTGCCTCCCAGGCTCAAGTGATCTTCCCACCTCAGCCTTCCAAGTAGCTGGGACTACAAGTGCACACTACCACACCTGGCTAATTTTGGTATTTTTAGTAGAGACGGGATCTCACTATACAGTCTAGGTTGGTCTCGAACTCCTGAACTCAAGTGATCCTCTTGCCTTGACCACCCAAAGTGCTGAGATTACAGGCATGAACCACCACACCAGGCCAGAATAGTGTTTTCAATAAACAAAACACAAATGATTAAAAGGAAATACAGCTATCAAGATACTAAAATATTTTACATTATTACATTTGTTTCCTCATTAACACATTAAATAAGGTCTACTGGCAGCTCTAATAACCACCATGATTTTGAAATGGCAACGAGAATAAGTGACTTCCCAAGATATCTGCAACAACTATAGTGTGAGAAGAAAATTTCTGTGATTTCTTTGGTAACAAATTCACAGGAACTACTGATATTACTGTGGTTTGTTGCCTATGCTCATACGTGAAAGAAATGCTAAATTTCAGTTAGCAATTAGTACAAATAAATAATTTTTTTTCTCATTCAAGACCATGAATCCCTTGGTATCAGGTTCAGAACCCCTGGCCTAAAGGTTTTATCATGTATCTGGTTAGTGAATCCTAATTATTAATAAATTTTCAATTTTGGGGACAGCATTTCCCAAGCCCTGTTCATTGGAGTCCCACTTTTAGGAAACGTTAAAAACTGTCTGCTGTAGGTTGAATCTGTGTCCTCCCAAAACATATGGTGACATCCCAACCCCTGGTACCTGTGATTGTGACCACATTTGCCAATAGGGTGTTTGCAGATGTAATGAAGGTAAAGTGAGGTCATAATAGATTTGGTTGGGCCTTGATCTAATAGGATTGGTGATTTTATAAGAGAGAAGAGGAGACACAGAGGCATGCAGGGAGAGCATACCTGATTGTGAAGGCAGAGGCTGGAGTGACGCTGATGCACCACGGAACCCCACGGATTGTTGGCAACAGCAGAAGTAAAGGCAAGGGCATGGAGCTGACCCCCTCCCTAGAACCTGCAGACAGCATGGCCCCACCAACACCTCGATTTCAGACTTCCAGCCTCCAAAACCGTGAAAAAATAAATTTCTGTTGTTT